>NC_000007.14:96143142-96446172 GCF_000001405.40 Homo sapiens
AGACATGGACAGTTCCACTGCTTCCTAACGAAGCGTCTTTTTGGCCTAATTAGCTGTGCTGCCATTTACTGTTAAATGATAAGTTTCATTCCATTCCTAAAGTATAATTTGTCCCCTCATTAACGCTCTGACAGCTCCTACGGAAAAGGTAATGTTCAAAAGTAGATGGATACAACTTTTTTTGCTATGTTAAGTTTATTTGACTTTTATTTTTATGCTCCAGGGGTTTATGCAATAAAACAGAAGTTATGCAGGGAAAGGGAAATACATTCTCATAATTCTTTTTAAAAAGAAGTAGACATTGCAGATTTGTTTTCTTAGCTACATTACATTCAAATAGCTCTTTCAAAGGCAATTAATTATGCTGCCTTCACTTCAGTCACCTACATCCTCTGTGCTATAACTAAATCTCTCTAAATGTTAGCATTTTAGAGGGGGGCTTTATTTACATTGTTTACTATATTTGTGCTAAACTATTTCTTACTTTAGGAATGCAAAATGTTTACCATTTTCCACTTTTTTTCAGTTGCAAATGTATTTCTAAAACAAGTATTCTAATTGCCACTTACTGGGAAGTCAGAATAGTTTGCTTATTTTGCAAGTCAATACAGAAGAAAAACAGAAAGCCTGATTTTCCAATTTAGGTAAGGTTAAAGCTCAGCAGGCCTAAACACACAGACAGAGCCAACCACTCACCCTTCTTGGGTCTGGCATTGTAATGTTAACAACAGAAACAAAAGAACAGAGGGAAGGAGAAAGATTACCTGTCTCAACTAAATCTAGGACAGTGGTTCTTCTTTTTAAAGACCCACCTGGAGGGACACATACCAGGTTTAAAAGTACTGTGTGAGGTCACCCCTAGTCATTTGCATTTTTCTAGCCAACCAGGACTAGAAACAGAAAAGCTTTATTACTAAAAAGTGCTATCCTGAAACAAAAACACATTAAACTACAAAGCAATGCTAATGCTGTGATGCTCCCTAGAAAGATGGATCTTAACCTGCTGTGATGTCTGACCACGTAAAGGTGAAGTGGGGTGGGGCTGGAGAAGAGAGGTTCACATGAAACAAAGCCCAAGACAGAATGCTGGGAATATATAAATGAGGACCAACCAGACTTGTAATACAAGAGCTAATCAGACTGAAAGGAGACCAAACCACAGAGGTCAACATCTGCTGAATGAAATCCTGACTCCCGGGTCTCTGAATGTAGCTGATACTGATGACCAACAGGAAGATAGAGATTACTAGGTCACTTTCTTGCAACAAAATCAAGGTTCCAGAAGCTCAAAGCATTACTGATTTTCTTGGTAATTACCAGTACACCAAAAACAGCATTTTAGAAGGGAGCACCAAGCCCTGTGGAATGCTTCTGAACTAGATTAAACTACTAGACTAGTAATTAAACTAACTTCATATGGGAGAGTTCTCTTGCTCAAACTTGAGCAATCCTGCTCATTTCAGGAAAGCAATTTTAGCACAAAAGTGGAAACAAGAAACTTCTGAGCCTCAATTTCAGCTCAGATACCATGGTTGGCAGCCTCTATTCACCTGAACTACAAAACCAGGATACCAACTACTTCCAAGAAGTGTTAAAGGGGATTAAGATTATTAAATAATGTGAAGATGAAAAGCACTAAGTCCCAGTATTGTATCATTTGCAGGTAGTTTAACAGTCTCTGTTTCTGTATCAGCAAACAAGTTCCTACCATTTTACTCATCTAGACATTTCAATAACAGTCACTGCCACAGTACCTAAGTGCTTTTTACCAGACAACCCATTGAAAGACTCCTGGCATCTTGTCAAAATGACATGCTGCTACATCATATTACAGACTGCAAGAGCCTAAAAATTTAGAAAAGATGATTTTTCTTCAAATTGATCAATGCTATGCCTCATGACAACAGTGTTTATTTTTTACAGCTGGGTAATAAATTGGTAAGCAAAATAGCTATAGAACATTGTGTTATATTGTAGAATCACAGATTGAGCATTTTAAGTTCTACTTAAAAAAACAGCAGGTTTATTCCTAAGTACCACATATGCCTAAATATAAGGCAAAATTTTCCCCTGCTAAAATTAATCCCAGAAAAGAGGGCATCACTTTATATTCAATCTTCACAAAGTCTCAGATCATGGAGTACTCTTTCCAATCACTTGACCTGGAGAAGCAGAGTACCATTCGGGGAAGGGAGATTCTCCTGAGACAGCCACAATTATTACTAATTCTGGATGTTTACTGAGGTCACTTGCAAAACTCAGGTTAGAAAGAAAAAGAGTAAAAAAGTATTTCTGGGAGGAGGATCTCACAAATACTGTGTCAAATGTCAAAACAAGTCATTTCAAGTTTACTCTAGCAATATGGTAAGTTGTTACATTATGGGGACCAGTTATATCCATTCAGGATTAACTGGGAATAGGAAAAAAGCAATTGACTGTCTTAATATTATGTGTCTATGGGATAAAATTTGCAGGAACAATATCATACATAAAAGTCAAAAATGCTTCAAATTACAAAGCTTGGGATAAAAATGAAGACAATGTATTCTGCAAAACCATGCTAACAGATGACCTAAAAAGTGGGTTAAATGGAGCTCAAGATGCTGATTCAAAATTCATGAATAATTTTAATATTTCTTGATATGTGTTTATAGAAACAAAGCAGTATTAATTTTATATAATGTGACTGTATACATTTCTGTGTAAATAAATGAAACTATCTTAAGTAGACATTTTATTTTTCTCCCATATCCCTAAAGGTTTACTTAGTCAAGCTAGCGTAAAATGTTTTTTTAAAAAATTCTTCATTGAAAACTTGTGTATACATTATGTTTGATAAAGCCTTATAGGTTGGCATATAGGCAGACAGTTCTAGTAAATTCCATTATAACTTTTTGGTAGAGCAGTATGAATAAAAAATTTCAAGAATCATCTAGAAGTTTGGTTTTGTAATCATTCTGAAAAAACATTTTCTAAATGAAAAATGATTAAGATTTATAATAATTAAGACAAGGCATACATATATAGAGAAAACATGGATCGGACCATATGCATAGGATCAGAAAATAAATTATGATACAGGTTTCTCCTTGAACTGAACTCAGCGTATCAATAACAAATCCAAATAAAATTCTAGCCAGTGTTGCTGCAAAGAGCTGCACTGAACAACTCTAGAGGGCACGATTCCTATCATAGTCATCCTAGATTTGTGTATTGATGAGGATAGTTTTTTGGCAGATGGCAGGAAGGGGCACCTCCTTCTAATTGGCATGAAGGTGCCTCTGCAGCTTGGGTAGAACATCTTCTCCAGGTGTAGAAATGCAAAAAAAAATGGATTTCATGTTGAAGAATAGTTTCTGCATTAGGAGATGAGAAAGTAATCAAATAAATGACTAAAAAAAAAAAAAAGTTACCTTGTAGATCCCAAAAAACCCCAGGTCCCGCACGACAGACAGAGCACTGACTCGAGGACCAGTGGTGATTTCTCCTGCCACTTGCAAACGGATCTTGACGATTTCTAAAGGATTTGTGAAAATCACCTGGGAGCCTCCAGCCTAAAAAGAACAAAAAAGATTTAGGATCAAAGCAAAGAAATGGTAAGGTGGGTCAGGAAGAGATGAATGATTATTCTCAAGGATAAAAATATTCTATCCTCAAGAGAATGTAGTTTCAGCCCTTGTCCCATCAATCAAAACGGTTAGGGATTACAAGTATGAATCAAAATACAGTTACTGCCTAGGAAGAAGCCCTATGTCCTTAATGTGGAGGCTGAAGGAGGGCAAAGACCAGAGATTTCTGTTGACCTCCCCAAGTCCTCACACTGAAATTACAAATGCTCCTTGAAGCACAAACAACTGCCACCACAGGACTCAAAGCCAAGGGCACAAAGGCAGTAATAAAATGAAAAGCATTCGTATCCAAATGAGGAGACACAGAACGTATCCAAATGAGGAGACACAGAACGTATCCAAATGAGGAGACACAGAACAGAACGGGGACTAGGAGGACAAAGGCTCTTGAATGATGAATTTCATGATTCTGGCAACGATTCAAAAACTGCCAGCGAACACGTAAACTTAGATGAAAGTTATTATTTTTTTCTCTTAGAAACTCAAGTCAATCATCAAATCTCATTTTATGGAGTTACATATTCTTAAAATTTTTGTTTATGTATTACTTGTGTACAGAATTGCTCTTTTCATATGAGATAAGTGGTATATGAAAGTAGCAAAAATATGCACTAAGTCAATTACCAACCAAACTTTGAACATCGTGTGTTATTTCATTCCAGCAATGGCTAGATGCCTCACCTCCAAGATCATCAGTGAAATCTTTAAAGTACACTATAAGGGAAATTTTAAGCTAGCTATTTTGAAGCTAAGCCTATATTTATCACAAGCAATTACATTCTTTCTTACTGTACTTCAACTTGTTATTCCTTGTCACACATATATGAAATTTTTATATCATCCAAACTATACTGTACTAATTAGAACTAGCTACAAGGATGGCCTTTGAAGTATTATTTATAAAAGCTGGAAAGAAAAATTAGAAACAACATAAATATCTAATGGTAAGGGATGGGTTAAATGAACTTGAGTATGTTCATGCATGGAGATACTATGCAGTCAACAGTGAAAAATGTTCAATATATACTTTTAAGTAAAAATGCTCATATGTTTAAAATACTGGTACACATTTCCCCCTGCCATCCCCTACCACCATGTGGAAGAAATACACCAAAGTGGTGCTTCTGAAGTGGTGGGATTACAAGTATCTTTCTTTTCCTTTTTTTTTTTTGATGTATTTGAAATTTTTTCTATATAGATCATGTGTGACTTCCATAAAGAAAAATAAACACCTATACACAGTTTACCTAATATGTGTAATGTTAATGAAAAGAATCAAAGAAAGATGTTCGTTCATTAACTCTCTAAATCAAATTGTTTTTCCATTTTTACCAACTTGATACCTTAATCAAGTCACTCTTGTTCTTCCTTAAGTGCAAATGAATTTTTTGTTTGGGTTGGGGGACAACACAAAATACCAACCTGGGTTGGATTCACTGAAAGGCCCAAGAAAGGGCCTTAGTCTAGGAAGTAGAGTGTGAGATGATACACCCACAGGCTGGTGCATTCTGGTCCACACAAAGACGTGCTGCTCCCCGCCCTACTGCTCAGAACAGCTCTGTTTTGCTCAGATGCTGCTGCTGCAACCTGCAGGTCCATGAGAAGAACAACTCCCTGGTTGTTTACAGCCCGTGAGTGTTTTGTGAATTTGCACCTACATTTCCCATGTGATATGGACTCAGCTATTTACGGTTGGCAGAATGATGAGTTGAAACACACCTAACCAAGTAACCATGTGAGAGGCACGGTAAGGATTTTCTCTGTGTTTCTGAACCAGAACTCTTCATACGAAAATCTTATGAATAGTTAGAAAAATGAATAGAAATTTAAAATGTAAAGATTGTTTTATGGGGGTAGAATTGCTGAGAAAGATTCACCAGGTTGGAATTAGCCTGAAGCCTGATTTTTTGAAGCTCAAAAGAGGGTAAGACCATCTCTATCCAGGGTAAAATGCAAAGTAATCAGAGAAACCAGTCTTCTTGGAAGAGAGAAGAGGCATACAATGCATATTCATCCAAGCACTGCCAACAGCAGGGAAGGAGGCAGTTGAGTGTCCCACATGAAGGCAGAGCTTCGGTCTCCCTATTTGTCAAACCATCTCACTTACTATGAAGATAAAAAGAGATGGAGAATGTACAGGAGCCAGCACAGTGCTCAAGACAGAGCCTTTACTCCAGTTGGTTTCTTTCCCTTTTTCTCCTACGCTGATGTTTTCCTCCATAGATGCATGTTACAATCACTTGCAGACCTTTTTAAAATATAGTGACCTCTGGACTTCAGTCCTGACAGTTTAATAAGAATTTCTGCATCTGTCCTTGCTAAAATTTTCCTATGAGATTACCATGTGCAGTGAGGCTGAGAATCCCTGCACTACACCATCTGCACTACACCATCTCTAGAATCTCTGTCAATTCTGAGAATCAGCTTAACTGGCTTCTTGAATGCCACAGTTTCTAATCCCAGTCTTCCATATCATTTCACGAATAACTTTTATTTGTTTTACATCTGATCTCACAACAAACTCTTTCTACATATCCAAGTGGTGCTGTTATGAAAGGGTACAATTCTTAGGTACGGAATTGTCTTATTATCTCTTATCTTTACTAACACTGGTAAAAGTTGCTAGCATTATATACAATAAAACAAGAACTTACACTCAACTCCCTGACTCCAAGCCAACCAACAGATAACAATTCTTTTAAAGCAGAGTTAGTTATCACTAGGGATGATGAGGAGTCAAATCCACTTCAGAGAGCTGCAGGAGGCAGATGCACGGGGAAGAAAGAATGTAGTGATATCAAGAAAACATAATGATGTACCCATTATCTGTGGTGGCCTCTGAAAGAAAGAACCTACAGACTCAAAGTGGCACATTGTAAAGGTGCTGAAGATGAAACAGGCCCTTTGGAGTCGAACTGGAAGGAAATGAGAGACTCCAAGGCACCAAGAGAAGATGCTTATCATCAGATGCATGGTGTCTGGGTCTCTCCACGACTTGATCACTGAGCAGCACACTGCGTGCCGCTCTTCCAATTCCTGGTCTATTATGCATTCACAGTACCATACCCATGGTTCCTCTTTTGCAGAGATCAAAGATAGCTGAATCGGCAGACAATGGACAGGAACACCTATTGTGCACAATGTCTTTGCGTCCCTCATCACTTGAAAGCTCTGGCTGTGTGAAGATACTGTTTTTTTTGTGTGTGTGCAATTTTGTCACAAATCATTTCCCTATGACTTACTGGAGTCTGTGGCAAGTAGGACATGGGAAAATATTCCATACTGAACTGGCTCAGTGTGGCATATTATATTTACAGCGGTAACACTGACTTTTCTACATGTTTCCTGGTATACTCTTTGTTATTGAAATCTTAGTTATCATCTAGTATCTGGATCCATCTAAGAGAGAAAGAGAAATGCATACAATTATTATAGACTCACTTCTGCTATTTGATTTTTCATTCACCAAATATTTATAAGCAATTCAAAGTTTGTCCTAGAACTGCAAGGACACAAGATGCTTTATTCTCATTCTCAAGAAGCTTGAAGTAGTAAGGGTAGAAGTCATGAATATTCATTAAACATCTATTATGGGGTATTAAGGTGTTGCTTTGCATATATTACATATTTTCAGTCCACTCAAGAGGTACTTTTTGCAGATTTTACATAAGAGGAAATTGAAGCACAGAAAGATTAAAGCAACTGTTATGGGCTGAACTGTGTTCTACCAAAAGTCATAGTTGAAGTCCTAACTCTCAAATATTTCAGAATGTGACTATAGTTGGAAACAGGGCCTTTAAAAGAGAAATTAAGTTAAAAAGAGGTCTTTAGGGTGGGACGTAATCCCATCCAACTGGTTTGTTACAAGAAGAGAAAACTGAGACACAGACATGTAGGACACAAAAGAGAAGACACAGGGAAAAAGCGGCTATCTACAAGCCAAAGAGAGAGACCTCAGAAGAAACCAACCCTGCCAACACCTTGATCTTGAACTTTCAGATTCTAGAAATGTGAGAATATAAATTTTCTGTTGTTTAAGCCACCTAGTTTGTGGTATTTTGTTTTGGTAGCACTAGCAAACTAATATAGCAACGTACCCAGGGCTATATAGCCAGCAAGCAGAGGAAAGGATTTTCAATGGAGTTCAGTAACTATATGCCTCATAAATACAGAAAATGGGACATGAGAACAGATAATTATATGATAAGATCCAAGGTCCAGACAAACTGATATGACAGTTCAAAGGAGGGCAAGAGCTCTCCTGGCTGGGAGGTGATTAAGCCAGTGAGAAGGTAACATGTTAGCTGGGGACTACAGTGTGATTAGGATTTTGGTAGTCCAGGCAGAGAAAGGCACAAAGGAACAGTGACAAGGGCATATCACACTTATATGGGTAATATACCCAGCATCACTTCTGCCAAGCGAAATTTTAATAAGGATGATAATTATGATGAGATCAACATCATCATCCTCTAGCATTTATTGAGGCTCCTCTAGCTTACTAAGTACCAGGGATTGTGGTAAGAGTTCTATAAGAATTCTTGGGCCAGGTGTGGTGGCTCACACCTGTAATCCCAGCACTTTGGGAGACCAAGGCAGGTGGATCACCTGAGGTCAGGAGTTCAGGATAAGCCTGGCTAATATGGTGAAACTCCATCTCTACTAAATACACAAAATTAGCTGGGCATGGTGACGCACACCTGTAATCCCAGCTACTCAGGAGGCTGAGGCAGAAGAATCACTTGAACTCGGGAGGCGGAGATTTCAGTGAGCCAGGATCGTGCCACTGCACTCCAGCCTGAGCGACAGAGGGAGATTCTGTCTCAAAAAAAAAAAAATTGTTTTTTGGTCTTCATAATATTATAAGGTAAGTAATAAGATAAATAATAGGTCGGGTGCAGTGACTCATGCCTGTAATCCCAGCACTTTGGGAGGTCAAGGCAGGTGGATCACCTGAGGTCAGGAGTTTGAGACCAGGCTGGCCAACATGGCTAAACCCCATCTCTACTAAAAATACAAAAAAATTAGCCGGACATGGTGGCAGGTGCCTGTAATCCCAGCTACTCAGGAGGCTGAGGCAGGAGAATCACTTGATCCCGGGCAGCGGAGGTTGCAGTGAGCCAAGATTGTGCCACTGCACTCCAGCCTGAGTGACAAAGCAAGACTCCGTCTCAATAAAAATAAATAAATAAATAAAATCCTGGTTTCAGTGAAGAAACTGAGGCTACAAAAAGTAAAGGAGGCTATTTAACATGCTTGGAGTCATGCAGCTAGGAAGGTGAACCTTGGATTCCAAGCTCAAGTGGCTGGATGCCAGCGGCACACTTACAGTTCTTATCATGGCAGCCTTTTGCTCTAGATGGCATGGAGAAGGGGTATGAAAGAAGGTGGCTGAAAATAAGATTGCTGGAGCCAACTCATGGAAGGTCCAGGATGCTGCCTAGAACAGGCTGCATTCTGGAGATGGTCTGTGCGACTATGTAGCAGCAGGAGAGCTGGTAAACACAGCTTAGGAGCTGTAGAGGTCTGAGCATTATCTATGCCTTGGGAAGATGCCTAGGGAGCAGAGGGGAGAGGGCTCATCCGGGAGGCAGAGCCTGAGGCAGGGATCACAATTAGGTTGTTAGCCGACTAGGTGAGTGATAAAAGGCCAGAATTAGAACAGTCATATCTATACTGAATAGAGGTGGCTGGGTAATGGATGCAACAGAGACCAACAGGATTTGGCTGCTGAATATAGGGCAAAAAGAGTGGGTAAGCTCAAAGAAAGGATCCAAGTTTTTGCTGTGTAATAGGAACAAAGTGTTGGAAAGACGAATAATGACACATTCAGAAGGCAGTGGAAGGGTGAGTTAAGAGGGATGAGAGACACAGATGAGGGCATCACTCCACATATATAACTGAAGGCAGGGGTTTAGATAAGGTGGGAGGATGAAGAAGAAAAATGGAAAGTGGCGAGAGACCATGAAGTGATGAAAAACCTCTGCTATACACCGGTGGTACAGCAATCCAGGCACAAGAGTTAAGAACAGGGCTTCCAGAAGTGAGAAGGCGAAAGGACCAACAATGTCTACTGACACAGGGAGGCAAAGTCCAGCACATGGGGTGACCTAGGATTGGAACGAGAATGCTGGGGAATGAGAGAGCTGTGTAGTCTACTTGCAGGGGAAGGGAAAGTGAGAAAATGACAGTAGTTTATGAGAGCAATCAAGAGACAATGACAATTCATTTAGGGTAATTAAGGAGAAAATATCTAGGGGGAAGAGAGTGAAAAGATAAAACTACTAGGGATAATTATGCTGTGCTTACGCATAACAGTACAAGTTCTGAATGGAGGAGTGAAAGGTAGAACATGAAGAGTTTGCATTTGCTTTAGTGACATACAGAGTTGGGGGATAAATTTGTTACAGAGCAGAAACTGACAAATCATAGTTGTCCTTACTATTTATGCTTTGGAGATTTAAAAAAATCAAACAGAATCGAATTTGGCACAAGAACAACTAAAGTTCTGATGCATAAACCACATCAGCAACAAAAGACCCCTTCAGAATCAATAGTAAAATAATATTCTGGCTCTCCATAGGAAGTTATGATTAAGTTACTGTGATCTGTAACACAGAAGAGAAGATGAAGCAGCTGATGACCACAGAGGTGAGTTCATAGGCTCACACATTCTGTTCCTCAACTCAAAACAGGTTAGAAGGTACAGCAGGTGGCCATGTGTTTAAACAGGGCTTAGGGCTGCACATCTGCACTGGGCTGCATACCTGCACCTGGCTGCAGGGGACCCAGAGCTGCAGGCAGCACCACAGCGGGTTCTCTATTAAGAGTCACTGTGTGCACCCACGACTGTAGAAGATAAATTACTAAGTTCAGTGCCATGTGTACTCTCACCCAGGCTATTATCAGGAACTGAGGAACATTTTATTGCCCACTCTATTAGTATTGAATACTAGCACCAGTGTAAACAAACTTTTTGTAGCATTTTTCAAAAGGGGACCCGACATTCAAAAACATTATATATCTTTATTAGAGGAGAACAATAGAACTGGTACACCAAAAGAAATCTTACATATTTTTATTCTTTTACAAGTGGCATTAATAAAGAATAACTTAACATGAAATATATAGGATCAAAATGAAGAAAAAATGTATTGTTTTAAAGGCACATAAACATTTGAATGAAAGAGAAATAAGTATCATTAGATTCAATGTTGCAAATACGTCACTTGGGCTATAAATTTAAAATGCAAATTTTCCTAAAAATGATTATAACAGTCAAATATTATAACTTTTTCCTAAGTTAATCTAAATTCAAAGCAATCCTCCTAAACAAAACCCCAACAGGGTTTCCTGAAGATGTCTGAAGACAGGAATATTCTGAATAAAAAATCGTGTAGAGGATCTTATATCAGTACACATTTACACACATTTTATAAAGTGTCAGAAATTTTTAAAGTTTAGCACAAGACTAGATAAATGGAAAGATCCAAATACGTAGAGTCACAGAGTCACTGAGTGTCTTTTTTTTTTTTTTTTTTTTAAGACAGAGTCTCACTCTCTTACCCAGGCTGGAGTGTAGTGACATGATCTTGGCTCACTGCAAACTCCATCTCCCAGGTTCAAGCGATTCTCAGGCCTCAGTCTCCCAAGTAGCTGGGACTACAGGTGCGTGCCACGACATCTGGCTAATTTTTGTATTTTTAGCAGAGACAGGGTTTCACTAAGTTGGCCAGGATGGTCTTGAACTCCTGACCTCAGGTGATCTGCCTGCCTCAGCCCCCCAGAGTGCTGGGATTACAGGCGTGAGCCACTGCATCCGGCCGAGTATCTTAAAAAGGTAGATAAAATGTGCTACTTTGCACACAGTCAATGGTAGAGTGGACTCCTTCTACTTGTAGCTAGGAGTCCCTCTGACCAACTCACATATCTGGTAACATCCTAATGAGTAATGCGATGGTTTACTCATCTTTTTCTTTTAAAAGAGGATGACGAGTAGGCTGGTTTTGATACATTTCAGCATCTTTTTCTTTTTTTTTTTTTTAAGACAGAGTCTCTCTCTGTCACCCAGGCTGGAGTGCAGTGGCACAATCTTGGCTCAATGTAACCTCCGCCTCCTGGGTTCAAGTGATTCTCGTGCCTCAGCCTCCTGCTGTAGCTGGGATTACAGGTGTACGCCACCATACCTGGCTAGTTTTTTTGTAATTTTAGTAGAGATAGGCTTCGCCATGTTGCCCAGGCTGGTCTCAAACTCCTGGCCTCAAGTGATCCACCCACCTTGGCCTCCCAAAGTGCTGGGGTGACAGGTGTGAGCCACTGTACCAGGCCCAGCTTCTACCAATTCTTGCTTCCCAGAGGTCTCATCTTTTTCTCTTTATTGAGAGTACATAGTTAATCAAGAGGTCCTGGATGCTGGAGGAATTTGAGTCTGAAAGTACACTTGCGGAGGGAGGCCCAAATTTCTGCAAAAATTCAGTGGCTGGTATGAGACTTCTCTCTTACCAGTTGTGTAAGGATTTTTTTTCAAAGGCTCCATTTCCAAACTGTGATTCATTATGTATGAAGGATCTTCTAGCAGAGGGAAAGATATCCCAGTAGTGAACCCCAATTATTTTTTCCTCCCCAGAGTGTTTTTCGTCCTCCTTCTTTTCTTTGGTTTTCCTATGCAGTAGATTATTCCTATCGTTCTGCCCTTTATAGGACCTGAAGGCTGTGGCTCTGCCCACAGTGATCTCTGCACTGATTATTTCCAGTCAGCCCTCTAACAATGTACACTTCACCCATGTCTGCCCTCTAGATCCCTTTCTGGAAGGATGTGATTTTCCAGCTACTAAGTGGGAGCAGTCATCTTGAGACACTTTTCAAGAACAAATTACCCAGCAGTGTGACCAGAAAGAAGAGATAGCTGTAACTACTTGAATAACTACGGCCCTGCAAACTCTCTCTTCTCCCCTCCTCTCCTTCCTGGAGAAGCAAGAGCCAGACACGTGTCAAGCACTTCTGATGTAGGAGGCACTGTGCTAAACTCTTCACAGACATCATCTCCTTCAATCCCCCAATCATGCTGACACAAGCTATATTATTCCCATCTTTCTAGAGATGAGATGGAGGCAGAGACTTCTCTTCAAGGTAGTAAAAGAATGTGAACGCGACTTGCCCAATTTCTAACCCACGCTCAGAACCATTACGCCTAGTTGTCTCTTGTGAAAAAGCAGATTCAATACAACAATTCATTTTCAGTTTTTTCTTTCCTGTTTGAACGGAGTAGCTGCCTGAATTTTTGGTTAATCTGATCATATGGACTAGAATTCCTGTGACTTTAAGAGCTTCTAAGAGATAAAGATAAACCAATGGATTCAGTGACATTAAAATACATCAAGTAATATGGAAGAGATGTTTTTGTAGGTACAATATAACTGATTTTCATCAGATATATCAAATTTTTCTTTGTAGGTTAATCAATAATGAGAAAGCCAGGCTACTTGGCAGTAAAATCCCCAAATCTGAATCCTTGAGAAATATTTTATTTATTTATTTATTTTGGAGACAGAGTCTTGTTCTGTCGCCCAGGCTGGAGTGCAGTAGTGCAAACTCAGCTCACTGTAACCTTCGCCTCCCAGGTTCAAGAGATTCTCGTGCCTCAGCCTCCCAAGTACTTGGGACTACAGGCGCTCGCCACCATGCCCAGCCAATTTTTTGAGACAGAATCTCCGTCTGTCGCCCAGGCTGGAGTGCAGTGGCATGATCTTAGCTCACTGCAAGCTCTGCCTCCCAGGTTCACAGCATTCTCCTGCCTCAGCCTCCCAAGTAGCTGGGAATACAGGCACCCGTCACCGCGCCTGGCTAATTTTTTGTGTTTTTAGTAGAGACGGGGTTTCACTGTGTTAGCCACGATGGTCTCAATCTCCTAACCTCATGACCTGCCCGCCTCAGCCTCCCAAATTTTTGTATTTTTAGTAGAGACAGTGTTTCACCATGTTGGCCAGGCTGGTTTCAAATTCCTGACCTCAAGTGATCCACCTGCCTCGGCCTACCAAAGTGCTGGGATTACAGGCATGATACACCATGCCCAGCCGTGAGAAATATTTTAGGCTCAAAAATATATAACTAGTGACAGTTTTAATTTTCTTCAAATGGGCTTGCAAAATAATTATACTGATGTAGGTTTTGTCTAAATATAGCATAGTCATTTCAAGATAGGAGCAATGGGTGCTTCACCTATCTACCAATACAATCTTAAGTTCACATCTCCATATGACAGTTTTGGCTGCTGTAATTTGTATCGGAAGTCCATGATCTTCATAAATTCACCTTTGCATCCAGGAGTGCTGAGAGCAACCAGAAAGGGCAATAGGACTGTGACTACAACCATGTCAGCATGAAGTCCAAGCGCCAAGCTTCTCAAACGCACAGCATTCTACTGATACGAAGCATCATTATTTCCAAATGCTCTGTTTTTTTTTCATGTGAAATGGTCCTCACGGCTCACAGTAAAATTATAGGTTTTTTCTTCTAATACCGCCTTCTCTGAAATGGGCTAGTCTGCAAAAAAACCAAACTGTGGTTCCTATCACTGCGTCTTTCACTCAGTGTCTACATGCTTCTATAAGCTTGATTTCTTCTTCTCCTCCTTACGGTTTTGCCACCCGAATCCCTCTTGCCATGTTACATAATGACTTCATTGTTGACACTTCTGGTTTGGCACAGGGAAGTGATATAGCTATTTATTTTTTAAAAACAGATTTTTAAGGGCTGGGTGCCGTGGCTCACACCTGTAATCCCAGCACTTTGGGAGGCTGAGGCAAGTGGATCACTTGAGGTCAGGAAATGGAGACCAGCCTGGCTGACACGGCAAAATCCTCTCTCTACTAAAAATACAAAAATTATCTGGGCATGGTGGTGCGTGCCTGTAGTCTTGGCCACTTGGGAGGCTGAGGCAGAATTGCTTGAACCCAGGAGGCGGAGGTTACAGTGAGCCAAGATTACACCACTGCACTCCAGCCTGGGCGACAGAACAAGCCTCTATCTTGGAAAACAAACAAACAAACAAACAAACAAACAGAATTTTAAGAAATCAAATATTTTAGAAAGGCAACACAATCCAGAGTTCTAACGTACAGCCCCATTTTCTCTAAGTACTCCAAGAACAATGGCCTTCACTAAAATCATAATATACTTTAGGTCCAACAGTTGTGGACAAGTAGGTTTAACAGTTACATGTGCCTTAAAACTGACTCACCAAGGCTGTCTGCTCATTTTCACAATGATAGGAAATATCAGTAGCCTAAATACATTATCTAAAGGATAAGGGTTCAGGAGCTCCAGTTCATATTTCCCCATGATCCATTTCCTTTCATTTGTATCAACAAAACAAGGCTTTCTCCAATGCTTCTTTATTAAATGAGGTAGTATTCCTGAACATTTTCTTGAGACTTCAGGAGTCAAGTCAAAAGAACTCATTAGATAAAAATACAAGCCTTCTTACGCCTCCCAACCCCCAATCATTCTAGTCAACAGTCTTGAGAATATTCAGAGACTATTAATAGTCTTGCATTAAAACAAATTAAACCCATCATCAGTCTGCTGTCCACAGAAAACATGGCAGTATATTTTTTAATATAGCGCAATTTCAACTATATTTTAAACTAAAAGCAATAAATATAACTGTAATTTAATCACCCTCCTTTAATTTGAATTCACATGGTAGATACTTATAGCTACTTAAAAAATTAAGAGGCAAAATGTATATGAAGAATATGTATCTTGATATTTTAATTATGCTCAATTGAATGTACTTAGATTTAAAGTGCTTTTCACAAATGACATGTGCTAAGAATATCTAATTGCACACTGACATTCTAAAATGCGTGCTTACACGTGTCAAAAATAGATTAATATAAAGTTATAGAATAGACTTTTACTTAAACCCAAATACATTATTTTGATTATCTGGACACAAACACAATTGTAACTACAAACAAGATATATAGTAATAAATGTCTAGTGATTTATGTTTCATTAAGACGAATACACAAGTGATGACAGTGTTTGACATTTGAATAAATTAGAAAATAAAGACTTGTAAAGGAATCTAAGGTTCAACATATTTTCCATTTACTTTCTTACTAACTCAATGTTAAATAGAGACATGAAAATAATTTGTATGTAACCAACTATTATTGTATGCAGAGCTCACAGGTAAAAAAGAGATATTCAGCAAATAGCAGTGGATGGAATAAATTAAAACACATTGCCAAATTGCAGTCAAGTGCTGTTCAAAACTGTTCACAAGTGCTGAAGACGGCATTCAGCAACCTCACAAAGAAGCTGGCAAAGATGAGGTGGCATGAGGTCGGAAGGCCACTCACCCTGTCGAGCTCTGAAGGGAAGTGTGTTGGGCTCACTGCCTTCACAAGATACATCATCACCCTCCTGCAATCAGAAACCTGAGTCCTCACAAACTGAAAGAAAGACCTTTTCTTAAACCCTAGCATTAGGGCTGAATTGCGTCTCTCCAAAATTTGTATACTGAAGTCCTAACTCTCAGGACCTCAGAATGTGACCGGATTTGGACTTACGGCCTTTTAAGAGGTAATTAAGAAGAAATGAAGTCAAATGGATGGGCCCTAATCCAATATGACTGGTGCCCTTATAATTAGAGATTAAGACACAGACGACACATGGACTGAGGGGTGACCACGTGAGGACACAGTGAGAAGGCGGCCATCTGCAAGAAAAGAAGAGAGGCCTCAGAAGAAACCAAAACTGCCAACACCTTAACCTCGGACTTCCAGTCTCTGTTGTTTAAGCCTCCCGCTCTGTGGTATGAGGCATTTTGTTATGGCAGCCTGACCAAACGAATACACTAAGTTAGACTGTCTGACCAAATGCACATCTCTAAACATAAAGCAATATAGAATTTTTTTTTCTTTTGATTTGGTATGAAAATAAAACTCTTAAGTGAAAAATGTGTTACTAGATTATTAACAATATTGAAAAGATAATAAAATAAATTCTTACTCTAATTGGATTCTGAGAAAGATACCAAACTGAAATATCCTAGTCCTAATTTCTTAACCACACGGTAAGGCAGAAAAAGGCTATTCTGTTTACATGTTTTACAAATATTAAGTTTCATGTTTTCAGCTTCATGGGGTTTTAATGGGCCCATAGAAGCCTGGCCAAGAAACCAAAGTGGAATCCATTTGACTGACATTAAAAAGCAATTAACTTACAGGCCTGTCAAATATGTTAACATTTGGGGTCTGCCTGTTATACATGTGTATTTTGACTACTACTACCAGAATAGTTTAATGATTTACAGACCTTCAATGTCTAAAGTACCTTAACTGTATGAAAGCTATGGCCCAGTCTTTCTTCAGATTTTCCTATCGTAACAAACTCCTCCCTATTTACTAGAAATCCAGAAAGATGGCCCAATATTTGAACTGTGTTGAGTCAAACAACTCTGAGACTTTCCCAGAGAAGGTAAAGGGAGAAAAACAGAAAGGAAGTATCTGGCTGGCCCAGTGTCTAGCATGAAAGTTGGACTTTCCTCTAATAAGATGACATTTCTGAGCCACTGAAGGCAGCCCTTAGCCAGGGAGGCTATCCTTAACTGTCTTAGTCTGTTCGGGCTTCTGTAACAAAGTATCATAGACTACGTGGCTTATAAACAACATAAATTCATTTCTCAGAGTTCTGGAGGCTCGAAATCTGAGATCACAGTGCCGGCACAGTTGGAATCTGGTGAGCACTGCTTCCTGGCTCACAGATGCTGTCTTCTCACTGTGTCCTCACATGGAGGAAGGAGTGGGGACCTCCCTGGGATCCCTTTTATAAGGGCACTAATCTCAAACTGTAGGCTCCACCCTCATGACCTAATCACCCCCAAAGGTCCCACTCTTCTAATACCACCACACTGGGAGTTAGGTTTAAACATAGCAATTGTGGGGAAAATAAACATTCAATCTATAGCACCCATGAGCCCTTAGTACCATCAGATATTTCTTTTAATTTTGCCCTCAGTCCAAGTTGAAATCATCTGGAGAAAGAGCCTCTCATTGGAGTAGGCAAGCAGTGGAACTCTATTCAAGACCAATGCCTTAGTCCCATTGCCTGGAGGACTTTTTGAGAAAACCGATGGAGCTGCCTCTTGGCTTTTCAGAAATCTGCCAATTTAGATAGTGCCATGAGGTTAGCATTTTTTTTTTTTTTTTTGGCTATTAATTGGCTCCTCCTTTTTTAAAGCTCCTCTTTTCTATGATTCCTTCATGACTCTGACATAATTTCATGTTAGTCATTCAATAAAGTCTTTTCTACTTAAAATACAAGCCATAATAAATAAGCTATACCAAATGCTCCAAGTTGTTTATCTTCATCCTGTTCTTAAGATTCTGAATATATTTGGGGATTATTTATTTGTCATTCTTAGAAATGAAGTCAAATAAAATAAATAGGAGCCTTATAAAGGTTGGTTCTATTACTGGGTGATCATGGAATACTTTCTTGTGAAATATCCTGGATATGCAGACACCTAGCCATGGTTACAGCTATTCCCTCAATTCCTGCACCCCTACTCTCCCACTAATTTTTGGAGTTAATTCCTCTTTGCTGGCCATCAGTCTCTAAATGAATAGTAACATGGTATACAGAGTCACTACCCTTCCTTTCCAAATCTATGACCCACACCTTGTAGTCAAGCATTTATTCATTCAACAGATTTTTTTTTAAGTTTCTTCCATATGTCAGACACAATGCTAGACACACAGCTGTAACAGTGCAACACAGGCCCTGTCATCCATATTTATAGATGTCTCAGTTCAGCCATTTACTCAAGGTCTGTGAGATGCAATTAGTTGTCAGCACAAAGTTATGAAGGAAGATCTCCTCAAGTGGCAAAGCAGTGACCATGGTTGACAAAGACAGCAGGTCATATAATACCAGACACAGTCTCCAACCCTCCAAGTCAAGAGGAGATGGAAGGCAGAGATAAAGTGCAAGTACAAATCAAGAAAATCTTTAATATGGTCTTACATTTTGGCGGAGTAGGCAAAAAGTTCTCCCAGGGAATATTCCAAACAATAACAATAATAACATTTGAAAACAATATAATCACTAGATTTTCACTGAACTACAAAAGACTGTAAAGATACAAGCATTAAAAAAATTAACATTATTGCTATAGCATCACTATAATGCATAATGTATCTTGATTAATTCACATGTCACACAAGAGTGACTTCATAAAAACTCAACCTAATGATTAAGCCTCACATCATCTTATATTTATAAGTAAGATATGTGCAGAGACTTGCATAGTGAAATAAAAATTCTACCTTAAGAAAACCACACTATGAGGCTACGTATCCACAGGAAATCCTGGGAAGAAAAAGATCGCGAAGTAAGACTTAAATCCACTTCAGGCAATCTGTCTCATCAGCTCTGATTGTCAGAGTATATGTATTCATTATATGAGGAAATTTTCTTCCTGGTTTGATATGAGTGAGTATGAAATCTTAAGGGATTTCAAGTTCAATCATAAGGAATGGTGACTTTGAGTATATTTTATGACCAAAGTATACACAATACTATTCAGGGCAAACTTACAGAATTCAGAGCTAAAAACAAAACAGTACAAGAAAGGTTTGAAGACACTTACAGGTAGTTGAAACAAATGGAAATGTTAAGCAAAGTCATTAATATCTGGGTGGCGCCATGACTCAAGGCTGCCATATGTATGGCCTGGCGCACAAAGATGAGGTTTGCCAATCAGATTTCCTCTCTCAATAATTAAATGGAAAACAAAACAAAACTGAACAACTTAAGCTAATTAGCTGGGGCTGGGGCAAGGGATGAAAAGAGGCTGTCTCCTACTGTAGAGAAAGGCTAGGTGGCTGGCAAGAACATGAAGGGAATTCTTGAGAAAGTCAACACCAATTCTTCAGGAAGAGAAGAAGTTATGGATTAGAATAGTCAAAAGATGTGCAGAGGGATGCAAAGTCACTGTGAGAGAGACAAAGGCCAAGTAGAGAAAATGGAGAGAGTAGCCAGTTCCTAATGCTGCCTCAATTCTCAAGAGCCTTCAGTTTCATTTAATGGGTACCCTTAAAGTAAACCTTCATTTGATTAACTCCAACTTTGGTGAGTTTCTGCCCCCTGCTACCAGAAGCAATCTAGAGAATGAATGGGTTCTAGGATCAGCAACAGACCCTCAGAGAAGGCATGAGATGGGCTATGAAACCTTCACAAGGTGAAGGGCAATGAAGATGTTCCCAGCCCACAACACAGCTTACTGAATCCTCCAGTGGCAGTTAAAACATCCTTTGCTATTATTCCTATTACGATGTAGGGTCTAATTTCTCTCCTGTTGAGTCTGGGCCAGCCTAACTGGCTTGTCTGACCATCAGAATGCACTGGCAGTGACCTTCAAGGTCAGGTCATAAGAAGTCTTGTTTCTGCCCAGGACTCTTAAGATGCCTGCTCTTGGGAGGCTCCCTCTCAGAATCAAATTGTCAATGTTTGAAAAGACCAAGCTACACAGAGAAGTCAAGCAGGTGCTCTGGAGCACAGCCCCAGCTGTTCAGTTACAAGAGTGAGCCACCTTGGATATCTATCCCGGTTGACCCTTCAGATGAGTCTGGCCCCAGCTGCCACTAGCCCATAACCATATAAGGATCCCAAGTACAACCCTCCCAGGCTGAGCCCCGTCAATCCATAGAACCACAAGAGAGAATAATAATAAGTATCTATTTGAAGCCACTAAATTTTCAGATTATTTGTTATGCAGCAATAGATAATCAGAACACTTCTCCTCCTCAATGATGGAGAAACACTGAGATCATTCCTGTTAGGAGGAAAGCCTTGGAACTGGGATTGGCATGCACTGTGGACACAGGATGAAATTAAAGTCATTTTTAGAATAAAGATGCTATGTTACCCAGCAGAGGAAATCAATCAGTAGAGAAATGGCAAATAAGCAGGTTCACAAAGAAGACCAGAGATTTCAGGAGCACCTGAGGTAGCTGAGGTCCTCAACAGCCATATCCAAACTCCAATACACCTATTCCATTCCCCTTCACCCAAAAAGCCAAACTAAAACATTCATTTTCACAACATCCTCTCTCTCTCTCCATATATATATATATTAGAAGTTAAAAAGTAGACACCAGAAGAGGAGGAAGACTAGTACTTAAGTCATGATTTAATTCTTTCATACATATTATCTCATTTAATTTTTCCCACAATCAGGCAAGGTAACTGTGGTGCATTAAAGATGGCTGCAACATCAATGCCACATCTCCCATTCAGAGGTAGATTATTTTCCCTGGCACTGAATCCGGCTGGCCTATAACCTGTTTTAACAAACACACTGTGGCTAAATTAATGTTGCATAACCTCAAAAACTGGGCCTGAGATTTTTCTCAGCTTCTTATTCTGCTCTCAGAACTCACCTTCTTAAGTCTGACACTATAGTGTGAGGAAGCTCACGCAGATATGCCATGTGGAGAACCTGTTCCCCCAGCCATGGCTCCAGCTGAGCTCCAAGCTGATTGCCATTTGTGTGAGGACATTTTGGACCTTCTAGCTGCCTCACCACTCCAGCTGAAACCATGGGAAAGAGACAGAAACCACGGAAAGGAGGCAGCATTAATGAAAAAGAACAGATTATTGTTTTAAACCACTAAGTTTTGGAGGGGTTTGTTACACAGCAATAGATAACTGAAAGAGAAAGTTGCTATCTAAATTTTATAGACAAGAAAGCTGCAACTCAGAGAAGTCAACTAAGTTGTCTAATCCTTGATTCACATCTGGCAGGTGAAGGCCTTGGGACCCCAAACCGACTAAAAGCCCATGTTCTTTACAGGAAACTGGACTGCCTCTTGTTAGATGTGATTATTTTTACTACAAATGGCTATGATTTTCAAAAGGATTAACTTTACACACACACACACACACACACACACACACACACAAAAGAAGCAGCAGCATCCCTGTTGGCAATTCTCAAAAATTAGAATGGCAAGGTTTTAAAAGGAACACTTTCACTTTGTAAAATGATCTCCATCTATATGCTTTCTATTCTTGGTGATTTGGGAATTATCATTAAGTATGGCTTGGAGAGACAGGTGATAAGTTTTATTGTTAATGATGGGAAGGGGTTTGACTAACATTAAAGAAAAGATATAAATGAGTCCATTATCAGATTTGTCGTTGATTGGCTGTGAAGATTGACAAGATCACTTTTGAGTGATTTTAGCTTTAAAATTCTTTCATTTAACCAATATTTACAAAGAGTCTACAGGTTACCATGCAATGCCTGCAGTCCTCAGGATACATCAATGAATAAGAAGATCCCTGCTTTTGCAGAACTTGTACTCTACCATGAAGGAGACAGAAAATAAACAAAAATCATGAAAAATAAGTAAGTTATACAGAATGTTTGAAGGTGGTAAGAACCATGGCAGCAGAAGAAGAAGGGAGGGATGATGGGAAGGCAGGCTGATAGGTAGATAGGGAGCGTATGCTGGCAGTGGGGAGGGTTAACATTTTTAAACTAAGTATCATGTATAAGTTTAAATCATAAGACTGAAGAAATGACTGTTGTCTAGGGAGAAACCCCAAGTAACCAAAAACTTGGTTAAATGAATACACTGTTCCAACCATAAGTCCATCTAGAAACCCACACATCTGTAACAGACATACGCAGTATCTGCCGCATTCCAACACTTTGAATGTAATACTCCCATTTACTATTATTTTCTGATAAGCAAAGCACATGAGTTGCACTAATGGGAAAAAATGCAAAGGCATCAATCTGGGAATCATATGAGGTGTTCCTAGAGCACTGGGTTAGGATGAGGCATTCAAAAACAAACATTTATACTGCTTAGGATATTCACAGGTAATAAAAAGTAGAGAGACATGCTTAGAATGAAAAACACCACTGTCAGGACAGAGTTTTCTCTTGGGAGACAGAGGTAAGGGAATGAAAAGCAATTTGGACAGGTACATTAAGGGCCTCCAACTGCACTGTCAAGTTTGTCACCAATCTAAGTGGTAGGCACACCTGTGTCTGTATTGTTGTGTTTTTCAAAATTTTTCAAAATATAAATTAACTGCAACTGAATGTAATGTATGAGATGAGTAATAAAACCTTGCCTTAAAAACAGTATTTGATACGTGGCTGGACAAACTGGCATAAACACATCATGCATATGGGAATCACCATTATGGTAGGAATCAGGCAGGAAACTGCATTAGGGTCCTACTTATTTATAGGGGAGTGTAATTAAGATTACTCTTCATTCCATGTTTTCCCAACAGTGTTAGTCTCACCAGTCCCTTTTAGAACCAGTGACACAAGCATATAAACTGTTTTTCCAACTCAAAATGCAGTCAAAATGAATATAAACTTCTATAAACACCAATTATATTTACAACATGCACACTCACGCACACACATGTGTGCATCACAATGAAAAAATACCCTGGACCCATTATCAAAGGACCATAGTTTAAAAAACATGTTAATTTGTCTTTCCAAAAATTACTACACAATACTATTACTTTCTCTTGTTATATAAACAGTTTTTACTAAATATGGCTTTATAAGACAGATGTTCATACTTTCATGACTTTCTTTCTTAGTAATATTAGATTTATTTTCAGGCCAAATAAATTAATCATCATATTTATATTTCTTCCTTGAAACTAGTCATTGCACCACTTGTATTTCTTATCTGGTGACTTTTTTTTAAAGATCAAAGGATCAAAAGCTAAAGATCCCAGGCTCCTCAAGATTTCAACCTAGATGCATATTACACTAGATATATAAAAGTCATACACTTACTTTGTTGAATGAAGCACTGCAGCCTACAGATCATATTGCATTACATACATTATTTTTTATTTTTTTCTTAAAGTAACAGCAAAAAAGCAATAAAAACAATATATTCAGAGGTAATACATCAATTTTCAGAATCATTGGGAACCTAACTGGAAGTGGCTAGTGGTAACAGAACCTCTGTCTTCTGACACACACGGTCACTAACACAGATTTTCAATCACATCCCTCTAAAGGTGCCAAGTTTTTGATCCAAGAAGGGAAAAGATGGAAAAAAACAGAAGGTATACATATATATATATACCTCATGCAGGGAAGACTGAAGGTCCAAGTCTCCATCAGAACTCCCACAACTACAACCCTAATTTAGAATGCAGAAACCCAAGTTAGGGAGAAAACACAAACCACAAAGGATTCTTTCAGATTTAGAGTTTGTAAACCCCAGTCTCAGCATCGAGTTTTGTCTTAAAACATGCTGAATATATCACTACTGTTAAAGTGTGAATCTATAAAAATGCTCAGAAAACTGAAGTCAATTTTTAACAGTGCTCTAAACTAAAACTAATCTCAAATGCAAAAAATGAGTTTAAAAATAAAGTTAGACGTGAAAGTTAGCCCTTTTACATATGTCAGTGAAACAGAAGATTATTTTTTCATCTCTTCAGTTACAGGCTTTATTATATCAAAAATAATAAATAAGAAATGGGATAAACTTTATTCCTTTTTAGTGACAATCATTTTTTCCCCTCCAAATTTACTAACACTTTCATTCTAAAAAAATATATACAATAAAACAGGCTGTTTAGCTAAACATTATGAAGTTATGAGACAAAGATCTCCCTACATACTTTCCTCATTTTTGCAGAAAACAGATCATAAAACAGAATAAGCCTTGTTCAAAGAAATGAGCAGCTTTGGTTACAAGTGCAAAAGTCAGCCATGTGTACTAATTCTCAGTAATCATGAAGCAAGGTGAGCTCCCCAGGGACTTAAAAGTCAACACCTAGCAATGCTTGGATGAACTAAGATGAGGAACCGCTCATGTGACACAACCTTACAAAACCCTTTGTATTCCCAATAGGACAGATGAGGCTGTGGAACTCACAACAACCCTCTAAGGTGTGTGACTGACTCCAATTATAGAGAAGACTTTGCCAAAGCCTGCAAAGAAAGATGCTGCTATTACTTAAAAAATGCATGGCTGGGCGGGGTGGCCCCATGCCTGTAATCCCAGCATTTTGGGAGGCCAAGGCAGGCGGATCACGAGGTCAGGAGATTGAGACCATCCTGGCCAACATGGTGAAACCTAGTCTCTACTAAAAATGCAAAAAAGTTAGCTGGACATGGTGGTGTGTGCCTGTAGTCCCAGCTACTCGGGAGGCTGAGGCAGGAGAATCGCTTGAACCCGGGAGGTGGAGGCTGCAGTGAGCCAAGATCCCGCCACTGCACTCCAGCCTGGTGACAGAGCGAAACTCTGTCTGAAAAAAAAAAAAAAAAAAAAAAAAAAAAAAAGCACGTGTGCACACACACAAACACACACACAGAAAATGGAACCATCCATTCATCTACTCAGAGATCTAAAGGGACCTGGGTTGTCTGCTACCTACAGGATTGCTTAACTGAAAATAAACTCTTACTTCTTAAAGTAATGATTGGGGGGGAAAAAGGCAAGGGAGAAGACTTGAAAAGCTAAGGACCACTGTCTACCTCTTTGAGATGAAGGATGGCAAACCTCATTTCACAGATATTTTAAGTAGCTGTAAAGCCTAAGTGGCTCCAATTTTAAGCCTGTGTTTAGATCAGGTTTGAAAAGGGCTACATCTCTTTACATAACTAGGCACCACTTCTGATGCCAATGTGCTTTGTGTTTGAAATGGGCGGCCGCATATGCAAAAACAAGACCACCTACAGATGGCACCTAGAAAATACGTGCCACAACCAATCTCCTTGGCACCCAGAGGTATGTGCAGGCAAAATGCTTTCATTAAAAAGAAAATAAACCTCTGGGCACCATGCCATGATGATTGCCAACATCTTGAGTAGTATCACATAATTAATTTTACATTTTAATTCTTACAGAAATCTATAATCATATCTTTTCAGAAAGTTTAAAATGTAACTTAAAAAAACAACAACCCCACCTGACCTACCAAAAAACCCTGCTATATCCTGGGCCCTGCAACAACCTGAAGGACTAGGCTAGGCACAGCCTATGGATATACCTACTCAAAAATTAGAAAACCTACTTACTCAAATGGAAACTACAGAGTTGTTTTAAATGGAGAGTAGTTATGGGGAAGAGCAACTTCTAAAATTCTCTTTGATTATTATTGTGTGCCCTTTATATTTAGGACATTAAAGGCTCCTTTTTTTCCATCCTGAACGCTCCTAAAGTTACAGAACAAGGGGATCCTGCCTGCCCATCTCCAACAGGTCAGTGATCAAACAGAGAGTCAGGCAGTAGCCAAATTCCATCCATCTCTAAAGAATACCAGGAGCTAGGACTTCTTAGGTCCTGCTACATTTAAGAAACCATCATTCACCATTAGATAGGACAATAAGCCCTTTCCACACAAACATTGCCCAACGTCTACATTCAAGGATCTTCAAGAAAAAAATTACTTTAGGAATACTACTTCCTGCCCAGAGTAAGCCAATTTAAAAAAGTGACTTCATCTTTTTTATAAGAAATAGGTTCGGATAAAAAAAACCAATATTGTATCGCCTGAGTGATCAAAGCCTGTTATTTAACCAATCTTATCTTTAAATAACACTAGTCTTTGTATAAGAGTTTAATTTACTTAAAGTATTTACATTCGCATGAACAAACCAGTACGAGATAAAACGAGACACAATGTTTTGCTGAGCTTCAGAACAAGATGCAAGTTGTTCATCCATATAAGGAAACAATCATTCCAAGCATTTTTGACAATGCAGCGCACACTCAGCCAGTTATTTCCCAGCATTGTTCTCCCAAAAGCAGTGGAAGCTTGAACAGTTCTGCCACTTGCAAGGCAAAGCCAAGCAGAGAGCTACGGTTGCTGACTTCAGACTACAAGTTTTAGTGCCTGACCCAGCAGAGGGTGCCATGAGGAAAGAATGTACTAAAAATTAACTTTAGAAAAGGTTAGCAAAGATTTTTCAAAGGCCAAACACTTCTGCCACAAATGACTTCCATTGCAGAACAAACCATAAGCAATGACGAATTTAACAGGCATGACTTAACAGGCAGTAAGGTCAGAAACATTTACCCTTCCACCTCTGGAATGGTTCGCCTGTCTAGGAAAAGCCGAGGTGCCCTAGTAGACTCTGCCCTTGTGCAGGATCTGTGGTTAAACAGAAGCCTTAGTCCACACCTGTTGACCATGGTAGTGATATATATGTGAAACAAGTCTTTTCAATGAAGAGAGCTTCAAAAGGTACTTACGCAGCCTCCAGCAAGAATTTCTGCTGCAAGTGGGACCGAACCATCTTTGTGCATAAATTTATCCCTCACAAAATCGTTCACCTTGAAGAAAAATATTTATAGAAGCTGATGAAAAATATAAAGAAAGTCATTAAACACTTATAAATATGCATCTGTCAATATATGCTATTTTTTTCTATCAGTCTATTGGAGTAATCATAAATTGCACAATTTAACAGATCTTAAAATAGTTTGAGAAGTACTCTTAATAGTATAATAGTTTTAAAAAATGAAAAATATATATGCATCACTGATGTTTCAGGAGAAAAGTTAAAAGATAAATGAAAGCCAAAAATATGTTCTGCAATTAGAATAGCTTAAGAAGGGAGACACACTGACAATAGTGACAAAATAAAAACATACATCTTACAACTTAAAACTGTTTTATAAGGCTTGATTAAAAATCACTTTCAAGTCTTCTAACAAGAATTAATCTAAAACAGTACTCATCATGGAGATAAATTTGGCTGAGCAGACTTTTTCAGCTTAGAAGAAATTCAATATCTAAAAATTCCTCAAGGATTCTCAAAGAACATAAATTACATTAATTAATTAATATAATATTCTCAAAATGGTATGTAGTACAAGAAATTTTAAGAAACAGTCATATCTTTTTGGCAGACATAGGCCAGAGAAGATTAGCTATCTCAAGGTCACATAACAAAATGGTAAAAGAAGAATTTCAGGCTCCAAAGCTACGCAGCCCAACCTAAAGCTAGAGTTTTACTTTCTGGGGCTTTGTGGCCTTAGTGATGCAAATATTTGTATATTCCACAAACGCTTAAACTGAATATCAACCATCTGTCAAATGTGAGCCAAGCACTGGGCAAATAATCTGATAAAGGATCAACTTCAACTAGAACCCAGATCCCTGCACATTTGGCTTTATAGAACACACCCTAACCATGAATCCTATAAAAACAGCAGGTGTAATAGAAAGACATGCTCTGGAGTCAGACAAGTGTGATTTTAAATTCTAGTTCTCCCACTCATGATTTGTGTGAACACAGGTATGCTACTTAAGCCCGATAGGCCTCAGTTTCCTTATCCGTAAACTGTGGATCATGCTTTGCTTGAGATTAAACCAGTAAAACGTAATATACGTCATGTGCCTAATATGGTAGATACTGAAGGGAATTTAGCTGCTACTGCTGTGATGACAACAATGATGGCAGCAACCACCAAAAGTCCTCAAGTTTATTATCACATTTTTGGATGTCCACTGCTAAATGGAGAATAATGAAAAAATGTGTGTGGTGAGTTCCCCTGCTTTCAAATTAGCTAGCACCTCTGAGAAAACAAACCTGCTGTTTCCTATAAGAATACCTGCTAGATTCTTGAGTATGTACAAAATCCCTTAATAAGAAGCACCAACTCAAAAGACTTACTGTAAGTTTTATGGCCTTCTCTGGGGCAACTCCCAATAACTGTGGCAACAGACCTAAAAATCAACAAAAAGTAGAAGTATATTAAATAAATTAGCATTAACTAAACAAATCAACAGTTCTACAGAGGGGATTACCACTTAAAAACTGCTTAATCTCTGCTGCAATTTTCTGCTATTACCCTTAATGAGAATATTTGAAATGGAATGTTTAAGTACTAACTTCTAACAGCCGCATCAGTCCCAAGTACATTCCATCTCACATTCTGGATCGTTTGCACATTGGGTAAATCAACAGTATTAGTGATATAGGAAATCTCATTATTCCCCCAAAGTCTGCTCCTTCCCTTCTGCCTTCTAAATCAGTGGACCACTTGATTTTCTAAAACAAGGACCAATTTTGGGGAAGGCAGTTAGAACATTTAGTGGAGCTACGTATCTGAACTAAAAAATGTCATCATTTTCATTTGTTCTTCTTAAAGAAAAAAAAATTAAATCACAGTTGTTTTTTCTTGGAAACACACACCAAGCTAACCCTGAAGGTAGGAGCATGTTGCACCCTGTGTCATACTGAGAGAGGTTCATGGTAATATTCTTCATTGGAAGTACAATTTTCTAATTTATCTATGTAAGAAAGTCCACTCACAGCCTCTTCTGAGGGACCAGCCCTGCCCACACTCTCTTCCTAAAGGAGCAGCCTGAGAGGTCACTAGCTTGAATGCCATATGTATCCAACCTATAAGTGTGTTTTATTGAGTAACAAAAAGTTTCAAACATAATCTGACCTCCTTGTAAGAAAGATCAATGAGGCCAGGCACGGTGGCTTATGCCTGTAATCCCAACACTTTGGGAGGCTGAGGAGGGTGGATCATCTGAGGTCAGGAGTTCGAGACCAGCCTGACCAACAAGGTGAAACCCTGTCTCTACTAAAAATACAAAAATTAGCTGGGTGTGGTGGCAGGCACCTGTAGTCCCAGCTAGTTGGGAGGCCAAGACAGGAGAATTGCTTGAACCCAGGAGGTGGAGGTTGCAGTGAGCCGAGATTGCACCACTGCACTCCAGCCCGGCAATGGAGCGAGACTCTGCCTCAAAAAAAAAAAAAGATCAATGAACACACTGACCTAACAGTCAGTTCATGGGCTCAGTTCTGACCGAACTCTGACTGACCCCGGGCCTCTTTCTGACATCCCAGCCATCTGCTCTATTGCATGAGGCTCCATCCTTCAGACAGAAACCATGCAAGGTGGTGCCCACCCTGCTTTGAGGCCCGTACCTCAATGAGGACAAGCGCCAGTTTGTATTTTTTTTTTTGACGGAGTCTCACTCTGTCGCCCAGGCTACAGTGCAGTGGCGCGATCTCGGCTCACTGCCAGCTCCGCCTCTTGGGTTCATGCCATTCTCCTGCCTCAGCCTCCCGAGTAGCTGGGACTATAGGCGCCTGCCACCACGCCCGGCTAATTTTTTGTATTTTTAGTAGAGATGGGGTTTCACCATGTTAGCCAGCATGGTCTCCATCTCCTGACCTCATGATCCGCCTGCCTTGGCCTTCCAAAGTGTCGGGATTACAGGCGTGAGCCACAGCGCCCGGCCTCCAGTTTCTATTTTTATTGCTTTACTGATATCGTCACAATTGATAAAATTTTTTCTTTGCTCATAGCCTTATAAAGGGGGAAAACTAAAAAGATGAATACAGCTTCATGTTTTCATGGAAAAATGGGAGGAAGTCCTTCATTGTGGAATTAAACAAGGATAAGGATGGTGATGTTAATGAAAATTTTCTTTAAAAGTGCATCACGTTTATTACGTGCCAGGTACCATTTTACAAAATGTATTAACTCATTTAGTCTTCATAACCACTCTACAGAGAGGAAACCAAGGCATAGAGAGATAAAGTAATTTCTTCCAAGTTACCTAGCTGTTAAGTGGTGAGACTGGGATACAAGCTTTAGCCATCTTACTCAAAAAATCTGTATCTTTATATACAACTCAACTCTGTGTTAATGTGCAAATGTGTACCTGCATCTCACACACCCAGCTGCATTTGTTCACTTATATAACCTGCCTAGATCCTATCAGCATTTGAGTTTGCAACGCTTCTTTTTGTTTTTTCTCATTTTTTATTTTTAACAAAGAGATAAGCCCTCACTATGTTGCCCAGACCAGTCTCAGATTCCTGGCCTCAAGCAATCCTCCTGCCTAGGCTTTCCAAAATGTTGGGATTGCAGGTGTGAGCCATCTCACCTGTCCTGAGTTTGCAGCCCTTCACTAAGCAACTATAACATCTAAGCCTGCTTCATCCCCAGGGCCACAGCTGACTGGACAATGTAAAACACCTAAAAGACACGCAAATCAAGAGTTCAGCAACCTGAGCCTGCTACCAAAAATAGAGCTGGCCAATTAGGATGCCTTCTCCAGGAGGATGACTGACAGTCTTTAGAGAAGAGGGGACAAGTTAGCACAGAAGCAACAAGATGAAAAGATGTCATGGGTGGAGCAAGGAAAGCAGCCAATTGGAAGTCACGTGTGTGCTAATATCACAAGGAAGCAGAAACCATGAATAAGCAGAGGAAGTGCATTGGTGGACAGATGAGAATGTGGAGCAAAAGGAATAGAGATTAAAAAGAGAATGCACATAGCCCATGAAAGGCACACAGGTGGGAGCGCCTGTCCCCATCACCTTTGGGTCCCACTGAGGCCAGCCTCCAGTGCAGCTCCTGCTCTTGGATCTGAGATTTCTACCTTCTTTCTCTCTTGTGTGAATGTTTATCAAAAGCCCCCCTAAGCTCTTGCTAGCTTGAGTGGGGCTGTGCTCTTTAGAATTTAAATGAGCTGAGGCAGCATATGAGAAAAAACGGGAATATGCAACCATTTGGGCAAAGCAAGCATTCTTATCCAAAGCAAGCATTCTCTCCTAAACTATACTCATGACACTCACTCACTGATCTTTCAGTAAGATATCTATAATAGGAGAAGGCTTGGTTATTACCTAATAAAAGTACAACATTAATTTCTACTAGTAATATGTGGGCATACGCCTGTTTAAACTACCTCTTCACAATTGAAATTTTCATCTTTCTCCCTGTATTCACATCAAGTAACAAAATGCTTAGTTAAACATTTACTTGCTAGATGTATTTTTCTCATCATTAAATTGTAGACCAAAATTGTGGATGGGTTGAAAGCACTGTGATTTAAATGATGAACTCTTGTCTCCATAACTATCCTGTGACAGTCTTTTTAAATGACTAATAAAAAAACAGGCCACAGAGCCTAATGACTACTGTGTTAGATACAATCACTTCAGCCAGCCTTTCAAACTACTGAAATTTATCCTTCTCACCATAAATTTAGTAATGCATTGTGAACGGCAAAAAACAGAAGGGAAAACCCCGTATTTAAGACTACAAAGAAGGCAACAAGTAGCTATTTGTTCAGCAAACATTTACCAAATGCCTTCTCTGTCTGCCTGGTACTGAGAGGAACTGGGATGAACACAGTGAGACTGGTGCCTCCCCGCTAAGAAGCTCAGAGTTTAGAGGGAAAGGGAACGCTAGTTGTCTCCACCTGCCAGATGGGGGACAAACCACCTAACAACAGCAGGTGCTGCATACCAGACCCCAGGGGCATCACAGGACTATGAGAACCCAGTGGAGAGAACCAGTTCTTCTGCCTGCAGGAGGGGAAAAAACATCAAAGAAGAGGAGATATTTGCCCTGGGACTTCAAGGGTGAGCAGAGGTTCCCCGGAAAGATGAGACAATGAGCAGAATGGAGGGCAAGGTGACCCAGGCAGAGGAAACAGTTGGTGTGCAAAGGCACCAACATCTTAAGGCTATGGCATGGAGTCAGGGCACTGGAGGCTGTGCTTGGATCACAGAAGACCAGATAATAAATAACAATATTATTAATAGTAGTGATAATGACAACAGCCAATATTTGGGGAGCACTCGCTATATCCACATACTACAGTACTGTGTGTTTTATGTGAATGAACACATTTAATCCACACAATACCTTACTTAAACAGTGGCTTTTGTTTTATCCACAGCAACTGAAGAAGAAACTGAGGCCGACTTTAAGGGAGCTGCCCATGGTGGCTCAGCTGTTTGATGGGGGAACGGGGTTCCACCCAGGCTGTCCGACTCCAGCCTGTGCTCTTACCTGGTACGCTGCACAACTTCTCTCCCAGGCCCACTAAGGAGCATGCACCAAATTCTGTAGATGCATGGGGTGGCTTTTAGGGTAAAAAGTAAAGTTCAAAAAGTAAAAAGTTCTAGAGGCAGGTGAAGGATAGTTTGCAAGAGCAGAGACCTGAGGAAGCTAGAGAAACTAGGAGTTTAAGGTAATATATTAGAGGCCCCGAGCTTCCTTATATTAAATGATTAACTTCAACTTAGAATAAAACCAAAGCACAAATCCATTCCTAAGACCTAGGCCAGATGCTGCCACTCACGGAAGTTGTTGATAAGAACCATTCTTGTAGTGACTACCTTGTCTGGTTAAACAGGAAAATGAAGGTGACTGGATTATAATCTGAGGCCCACTACAGATGTGGGCCTTGAAAACATGAGTCTTGGGTAAATGGTCTTTGTAAGAAGGTCATGATCTGTGAAACAATGAAAAGTCAAAGAGGTGGGAATTCCAAACTCCCTCCTTGTACCTTGACCTCAGAGGGAGGAGAGGTAGCACAGCCCAGTAATGCCTAAAGCAGAGAGTCTAGGTGAGGCACTTCATCACAACCACAATTAAGTCTAAAGTGCATATATATCTGACATCTGGGTAATTCAGCAGAAAAATCAGGTTTCTAATATAAGATGTTTCTGTTGGGTCCTGGAAATTCACTTTAACCATTTGAAACAGAGAATGGATGTGTGTGTTGTTTCTAACTTGTCAAAACAGCAGTCCATTTTCCAACTGCCTCAAAAGAAATTTATTAGTGTGGTTAGTTTTCCAATCTTCTCCTTTTAGTTCAGCTCCATCAGCACATATGGCAATGCTTCCTTGGCAACTCGACTCTACCAGAAGGCTGCTAATGCGAGAAAAGATTTACAGGGTACAGTATTAATGTAGTATTTTGTCTTCACATTTCATGGGTTGGAGATATAAATCACACTATCCCCTCTGAATTCAGTCCCTTGCGCAAACCAAGGAGCTGAAGGTGTGGGGACCAAGCCCAGATCAGGGGTCTCCAACTCAAGCTTCACAGGACATCCCCAAAAGAGGTTCCTGGGCCCACTGTGTTCAACTAGAGGGCTAGCATGCTATTCTTAAGAACCTGTTAGAAATATAACTGGAATTTCAGGGTTGGAAGGGATTATGAAAGAAACTCAATATTGCTGGCCTAATTTAAACTAATTTTAGGCTATTTCCAACGGGCTGGCAGCAAAATGAACAATCTAGGGCATGGGCTTTGGAGGTGGACAGACCTGGGCTAGAATGCTAGGTCTGTGCATCTTTCACACTGAGTGATCTTGGGTAGTAATTCTTTGAATTCTAGGTTCCCTCTTGGCAAAACAAGGGTGCTACTTACTATCTATTGGTTTATTTTGATAATTATATGAATAAGTGTACAAAGAACCAGACACTATTTACCTCATATGTTATGTATTCCAAAAGACATAATGCTTCTTTCTACCTATCTTTTCAATACATAGCCTTGATTTCTTTTGTTTGCAAGAGGCAATTCAGCCTGAATCATGTTCACAGTCCACCATTAGCTAAGGAGTATCATGCTGTGCCCATGACATTATGCCTATCTTAGAACAGCTGTCCCCAAGCAGTGAGAGCACATGTGGTCTGGAAGTGTCCAGGGGCCCTGTATACTTTGGGCAAGGTAAAGTAGTGGCACAGACAAAACAACACATTTCAACTATGTTATTAAGCTGAAATAAAATATTATAGTTAAAAACTTAAATGATCCTTAACCTCTGCTGACAAGCAACTTTTCACAATGTAATTTCTACCAGGTGACAAAAGAGCCAAGTGATTAGGAACACGAGGTCTGGAGCCAGGCTGCTGAGCTTCAATTCTGACTTTGCTATTTGTTAGCTGTGTAATTGTGGACAAGTTACCTAATCTCTTTGTATCTTAGTTTCCACATCTGTAGAATGGGAATAATCATGATGCCATTTTCACGGGGTAGTCGTGAAGATGAAATGAGTTAACACTCACAAAATCCTCAGACCAGTACCAAGTACAGACAGTAAAGACTACAGAAATGGATTTTTGTTGTTGTTGTTGATCTTCATCATCACTATCACTTATTCTTCCTCCTCCTCCTTCATGGAAACTGGAATCCAGACAGGCTAAGCAGCTTGTTTCAAGTCACTAACTTCTGAGCGACTATGTAGTAGCACTCAAAGTTGAATTCAGGCCTGCCAGTACTCTCAAATCAGGGCTCTGTGCTCCTTAATTCTCTGCGGTACCAGTTTTCTCTAACAGACTTACTGCTCCAAGTTCCTCCTCTGCCCTGGAAAGGCATTTCTTCCCAACTAGACTGTTCTGAAACTTTTCTCTAGGCCTCAGCTCAGGCTGGGTCAGCACCCTGCCCTGCCTGACCCTTGTACACAACAAAGGGATGGTGCCCATGTAGCAGGCATCCACATCATGCTTCCCCCGTCTCTACAGATGGTGAATATTAGACTCCTTAAAACCTCGAAGGCACTGAATGTCAGAGCCAAGCTGTAGGTTATAACCTGGTGAACCAGTGAGAGCAGGAATATACTGGGAAGAAGGCGCAGGGTCAGGAGTGGGTTGAAGCCACGCTGAGCGGCTACTGTAACCCAGAGTGGCCAGGGTGCCAAAGGACCACGCTGGGCAACGCTAGCAGGACCACAGAGGTGGAGGGGCTACTACCAAGGAAGAAACTTGGTAACTAAGGCAGTAGTTACCAGTTCTATCTCAGCATAGAACTGAGACAGGGGCCAGCCCAAACCAGAGAAAGACAGCTGAGAGCATCTAATAGAGGGCAGAAGGTATTCAGGGCAGAGACGAGCAGTAAACTTTGGAAGGAAAAATTAATCCAGAAGACACCCCTATTCCTGTAGCTGAAGCCACAGCCAGCACACTGTTGTGTTATCTAGTTTCCACCTGGTAGCAACCCCTCCGATGTCAAATTCTTACCCTTCTGACCTCACTATTGAAACCAGAACACTTGTCCCTATCTTCCCCGAGAAACCCCTTTGCTTTCAACATCAGATTAACCTTCATTCTGCAGCTATCAGCACTTTGTGTGCCCTGCCTTAGAGCTTTTTATTCCTGCTCCTGTTGCCATGCCCTTCTCTCTTCACTTGCTCAAGCATTCTTTCCTCCCTCCTCCTCCTCCCATTTGTCTGTCTGCTTTTGACTCAGATTGCCCCTAGGCATGAGGCATTTCCACCTTCCCAACTACACTATCGCCTTTCAAAGCCTTCATTACAACCCAGTTCTGACAGGCTCTTTGGGCTGCTACCCCAAGGTGGCTGTACAGTGGAGCTGGGGAAATAGCCAGGGACAAATGCAGAAATGAAGATTTAAATGCCAGTTTATCTAGGTTAAATTATTTACACTCAAAATTTCAAGCACTGTCTGTTATCTTAGCTATGGCTCAGGATGCCTTTGGGAGACAAAGTGTTAAAACATAAAATAAGTGATTATGATTATGGTCTGGAAAAAAATCAGTTCCTCAACTCCTCTATTCTGGGGCTTTCTAGAAGTAAAGAGAATTGGGGAAAACGATCAGATACTCCTGCAGTTTTTCACCATAGTACATGAGAACGTTCAGGATCCTGGTTATCTTTTCTTCTATCTAAACTATTTCCCTCCTACTGAGGTTTAATCTATCTCCCTTGTTTTAGTCTCAGCAACAGTAGCTGGTTATAAATTATCATTTTTGAGGTGTGGAACTAATTCATTCATTAACCTCTTCTCTAGGATACCTACACGTCTATCTTTTTGTCATATTTTTCCAATTTTCTAAGGTCATCAGTTGTTACTGTAGCACTCTCAAGTCTCTAACAATTCTCTCACCCACCTTAGATCCAGTGTGTGTCGCCTCAGTCTCAGATTACAATGCCCTGTGCTCACTAAAGTTAGCTCACTGTAGATTTCTGGAGATTGGCTAACCCAACAAATGATCTGTTGAAATCTTCTGCTCATTCTTATGTGGCTTCCTATAACCAAATACATGTCTTCTGATATTTTTATAGCTTAATGCTCTAAATGAAAACGTGCAGAAATTGGCCAAGAAAATAAAGACTCAAACCTATCCATTTTGCAATCATTAAAAGTTTTGGTGGACATGGATGGACATGAGTGCAGTTCACAGATTAACTATGGTTTGTTTCAAGATGCATGTGTTCTTAAGTAATGCAAAACAGTCATGGAAATTTCAATCATTTTATTTTGGTGCCAGAATTTTAAAGTTTATTTTATCCCCATGAATTATGCAAGAATGAAGAATCTCACTGTGATTCTAAAGAATCTGGATACTCCCTTTTATAGTACCATCAATGATAAGGGACCTGGCTTAAACTAGCTGCCTGCCAAAACTTCCCTCTGCAATATAAAAGTATCAATAACTCCCTGAGATATCACCACAACATCCTCTAGATGTCACCTTGAGAACATTCCAGGATGGAAGATGACTGCTTTGCACTACACAGACAACTTGAAATAGAAATATTTACAACTCTGCAAGCTTGGATCAATGGGCTGATTAAAAAATGTGGTTTTTTTTTTGCCAATTTCCTCAAAGGTTAAGCACTGCTTAAATTAAGTTTAATTCATAAAATGATCTAATTACTCTTTCTGGGAGATTTTCTTTAGGGCTTCTCCCATCAATAGAAACAAAAATTTTCGTCTAAGAAGTATTTCTGATAGACCCTGATTTCTATCTCTTTTTTTTTCTAAATTGAGACAGAGTTTCACTCTTGTCTCCCAGGCAGGAATGCAGCGGCACAATCTCAGATCACTGCATCCTCCTGGGTTCAAGCGATTCTCCTGCCTCAGCCTGTAGCTGCGATTACAGGCCCGCCATTATGCCCAGCCAATTTTTGTATTTTTAGTAGAGACAGAGTTTGGCCATGTTGGCCAGGCTGGTCTTGAACTCCTGACCTCAGGTGATCCACCCGCCTCGGTCTCCCAAAGTGCTGGGATTACAGGCATAAGCCACCGTACCCGGCCATATTTCTCTTAATACATCTTTTTCCCCAAGATTCTCCCAAAACATTTTCCAGTGTCTAAGGCTGCTCATCTCATCACCTGAAAGATCTGAGAGAGAAGACTGCAACAAAGTTTAAAAGCAGAAATTATTTATTCCTGGAACATTAAGAGCATTTAATTATGGATGATTACCCAATCAATTGTTGTTCTTTAATACGCCAGATCTATAGCAGGCCAATGACTGATTCATTTGGTTATGCCAGTCATTCAAACCAAACAAGTTGTCAGGTAATTCATTAAGGATTTCAAATACCTGAGCACATTAAATCACTCTGAAGACTGGGGAGGAAACAGAGAAAGAATTTTAAAAGTGACTTCAGGAAGACCTGGATTATCTCAGGTGTGATTTCCCTTAATACAGACAGGCTTGGCCTGGGGGTTGGATTTTCAGAAATAACAACAACAACAACAACAACAAACTAGGAAAATTTGCCATTTTCTTGTTAGGAAAAAAGTAGTTTGCACTGTAGAGAAGGTTTGCAGAGCCAGACTCATGGGATTTTTAAGGAGCTCTTTTCCAGCAACTAAAACTTACACAAAAATAGGAGAGAGGCTCCTGGAAATAAAGAAAACGGAGTTATACCAATACATGGAGAGCAGGAATTAACCAACTCACAACACCTCTCATGACTCTCTGAGGTATATTTCTATTGAAGAGCACTGCTAGGCACTCTCTCATGACTACCAAGCAACTTCCACAACTATTCTGATGCAGCCAGCTGCGGGGGAGGCAAAGAACAAAACTTGTGGTGGAGCACTACAAGAGTTCTTTTAAAATAACCTTCATTCTAATGCCACAGGGAAAGGCTTTTAAATGCAAAAACAGCTTCTGATATTCTTGTTATAAGAAAAAGAGATATTTATTAACCTCATAATAAGATCGCATGCTACAAAAACACCTTCTTTGAGGCCAGATGCCAACTTTTTTCAAAGTATACACAAAGGTAATTTTAAAGTAGGAGAAAGATCTTACAACTGCAACATTCCCAAATTATCTCATTCAGGAAATATGAGCAATTACATAGGCCTTGATAGAGAAAAATTACATGTTGAGCAAAATTCTGTAATACTAAAAACTATGCTCAATATTTAAAAACATGTATGAATTAAAGATGTACTCTGATACCTTCTCAAATATTGCTAGGTGAAAGCATTAATAGCAGCAATACTATATTTTCCTAATTTAAACGTAACAGTTTTCCTCTGGAATAATATAATTTTAAAATAAAGTTACATTTTATGAGAAATGTACAAAGAATCACATATAGGTATTTCATAATGTGACTTTGTACATAAAGGTGATAATACTGAGTCTCAGAAATATGTCAGGTCTTTTTTACTTATATTGTAATTTTTTAAATTAACAACAATAACCATGAGTTACCTACATTTTCATCTGATCTCTCTTACCCAATAAGCACTTACAAATATGCAGTTATATACAATTATTAATTATTGATGATGTACAAGAAACTAAAGAGAACTGATCCCTGACCAATCAAGAATAGGAACAAGTCATTTTCATGGCAAAGTTATGTATCATTATTATTTTAACCTGAACTGTCAGTCATCATTTTGCTCTCAAGATGATCCAAATTACAGAATGGGACTAAACAAAAATTTTACAGTAAATTTTTTGTTTTAAAATGGTTTACCAGAAAAGATATCAGGAAGAAATGAACACAGGTGACTCCTAGAACTAATCTTATATTCACACTCTACTCATCATCCTGACAGACAGCTCTGTCTCTTGCCCTTAAGGTTGGGGCACCCAAAGATAAATGGCCATTTCTAAACCAGGAAAAGGGTGAAGAGCTGCCACTTGGGTGTTTACAGTGAGCCTCTGTCTGTACCTAATATATTGACTTACTACTCCTCTGAGAAGTTAAAAGCAGTCACTCTCATCTTACAGATAAAAGAACTGAAACGGCAAGAGTGGAAGCCTCTTTGCATAGCCCACATTAGCTCAGCACTCAGTACTCAGGCACACTTCTAGTTGCCAACAGTACAGGTTGCAAAAGGGAAATATAGACGTAACCAAAAATCAGACCTGCCAGGTATGGTCAAAGATCGAGAAAAAAGGACTCAAAATAAAAAATCAACTTAAGCAAATTAAAGACACTGAGCAGTGTTGGGAAGCATTCTTACAATTCTAAAGGCATCCTTGACATTTAATCTAATACCAAGAAAAGCCCAAAAAGTAGTTTATGAAGCAATGCTCAGATGTCTGCCCAGACTTGAGACTCGAGATTTCCCTTCCAAAAACCACCCATATGGACAGGTAAGGCGGCCAATTTTGCCTGACTCACTGCAGAATAGGAACTGTGACATTAACCTTGTACTACTTGGAAGCCATTTCATTTGCAAAGTTGTTGCCATCAGGGAAGAAAAGCATTTCAAATGGAAGGCAGTGACCCTGAAAGGGTCATCATCAATCACCTGAGGTCAAAGACCTTCCAAATTGTAAGAAGAGGCAGGGGATAAGGAAAAGAGGGCAGAGCAAAGATCAAAAGGCCTTTGATGGGGGCTACCTACCTACACAATAGGACCTGCAAAATGGAACTTCTCTGGAGTTTGAGACTTTCTGGCTTCTAAGGTGAGAGGTTTCAAGAAAGGTTTATCCTTTTTGTTTTTTTTAACTGGGGTAATTAATTTGAAGACTAGAGTCAGCAGATGGCAGAAGAGGCCCAGAGGCACAGGTTTCCATGTCTGCCAGTTTCACCGTCCACCTCAGCAGAGTACTAAATACTGTTTTCTTCATCTAGAGAGAGCATTAGTAGGGGAGAGGAGGGAAAACTCTGCCAGCTTTGCCGCTGCCAAATTATAAAGCAGCTGAGTTTGAACTGCCTTGTGATACTGTATTTTAACTGATGCAGAAACACTGTTTCCTTCTCGTAGAAGGCAATCCCCGAAAGAACAGTTGAGAAGTCTCCTTCGGCCAATGCCAGTGGAAAAGCAGTCAGGGTCTGTGGGATCCTTTCCATCAGTGATGACATACTCTCTGCTACTACTTCCATTGCTTAATGAACCTTAGATGGTTAAAGGAAAAGGTGGAGAAAGAAGGATTACCTGTTTCAGGCTGTCTCAGTGGGGGGAAACCTTGGCTAGAGGGGTGTGTGAATCAACTCCATTGGGTTGAGAGTCAGATGAAGAAAAGGGGCAACTTTAATTCAGGATGAAGCAGCAAAAGAGAGCTCTACTGAACCCTTCGTTATCTTTTTTGTGGTGTATTCCAGGAAAATCATGAATCCTGAGTAGGCTTTGTCCTGGTGGCAGAATACCTTTCCCTGTTAGCTGGAGAATAGAGTACTTCAAGGATGCAAACAATGTGAGCCTTTCAAAAATTCACGGAAGATGCTTATAAAAATAATTTATTATTTTAAGAAATAAAACATACAACAGAGCACTATAAATAATTTTCAGATTATGGGCTGTTTTGATTAGCCAAGCCCTAGATGCCTCCAGCCTACTCCCATTAGCATGGATAATTGAAAATCTGCTGTATTTCCATTTTAACGCAGTCTTGCTAATTCATGTCAGGCACTAAGATGAGAAACCAAACCTTTGAGTGTTATTTCACCTAACAGGTATTGAGCATGTGGCACTAACCTCTATACAGTCCAAAGAAGCCTTCATAGCGTAGCACTTTCTTAAAACAGTCAAAGCTGTTTTTATACATGAGTTCTCCCACAAAAGAGCCAGTTGATCGTTGGTTCTGCATTCGAGTTTTTACAAGATCGATAGGATACACAGCAGTGGCTCCAACAGCTAAAATTAAACAATATCATTATCTCAGAAGAAAGTAAGATAGGTCAGAAGAAAGAAGAAGGTAGTTAAAGTCAAGGACAAGACTGAGAAAAGAAATGTGTTTTGAATTTTAAATACAGATTTTAAAACAGTACTACCTTTCTTATATCTTTAATAAACAATTGAGGGTTTTCATTCAAGTATCCCCTAATAAAAGGATGTCATAGATATTTTAAATTAAGGCACATTGCTACAGCCCAACCTCATTAGTAACCTGTCTTTGGAAGGCCTGATCTGTAGATAGAGGAAAATGCCACTTGTAAGTCCCTGATCACATGCAGGTATGGGAAAAGAGTTCCCTTTACTCTTGCCCTACCTCACAGGTAGAAACTGATAACTGGCATTGGGAAAGACTAGAGAAGACTTTGTCCTTTAACATTTCAAGATGGAAAATCAGAGAAAAGAGAATAGGAATAACAAAAGTGAAAATTTTTCTCTCATCCATGACTAACCTCCAGCAACAGAACCCAGACCAAACCTGTAGGCCGACTCTGCAACTTGTAGAAGAACTGGTCGAGCTGAATCACCTGAGGCCTTCTGCTTTGCATGCACAGGAATCAGAGAGCAGGAAAACAGGTGACAGAAAAGAAGATAAAACAAAAATGACCATACATTAACTTTAAACATTACTCATTGGGTTCTAAATCCATGATACAACTAAAATGTCAAGGAAAAAAGTAGGAATGGATTTCATAAGTTCTTATTAATAAAAAGATTTTAGTGCTATTAATGTTTAAAACCAAATTTCAATATAATCAAAACCATCCTTTGACAAAAATGATGTTATAAGCCTATTTTCAAATTCTCATTAAAAAAAATGCACAGTTAAAAACATCACTGAGGCCAGGCACGGTGGCTCACGCCTGTAATCCCAGCACTTTGGGAGGCTGAGGCGGGCGGATTACCTGAGCACAGGAGTTCAAGACCAGCCTGGATAACATGGTGAAAGCCCATCTCTATAATATAACACAAAAATTAGACCAGCATGGTGGCATGTGCCTGTAGTCTCAGCTACTCAGGCTGAGGAGGGAGAATCACTTGAGCCCAGGGGGCAGAGGTTGCAGTGAGCTGAGATCACGCCACTGCACTTCAGCCTCGGCAACAGAGCAAGACTCTATCTCAAAAATAAAAATAGGTCGGGTACGGTGGCTCATGCCTGTAATCCCAGCACTTCAGGAGGCCGAGGTGGGTGGATCATGAGGTCAGGAGATTGAGACCATCCTGGCTAACATGGTGAAACCCCGTCTCTACTAAAAATACAAAAAAAAGAAAAAAATTAGCTGGGTGTGGTGGCAGGCGCCTGTAGTCCCAGCTACTTGGGAAGCTGAGGCAGGAGAATGGCGTGAACCCGTGAGGTGAAGCTTGCAGTGAGCCGAGATCGCGCCACTGCACTCCAGCCTGGGCAACAGAGTGAGACTGTATCAAAAAAATAAAATAAAATAAAGTAAATAAAGCAAATAAAAACATCAATGAGACATCATTTTTCATCAATCAAATTGGCAGGTTTTTGGTTTGTATGTATTTTTGTTTTTGTTTTAAGTGGCAATACCCAGCCTGGCAAAAGTTGATAACAAGCCTTCTGAAATTTGCCATTAAAGCAAGCATAAATAGAGAGATGTTTAGTAATATACACCCAAACCCTTAAAATGTACATAACCTCTGAAGTTAGAATAGGCTGGGTGCAGTGGCTCACACCTGTAATCCCAGCACTTTGGGAGGCCGAGGTGGGTGGATCACTTGAGGTCAGGAGTTCGAGACCAGCCTGACCACCATGGAGAAACCCCGTCTCTTCTAAAAATAAAAAATTAGCCGGACGTGGTGGCGCATGCCTGTAATCTCAGCTACTTGGGAGGCTGAGGCAGGAGAATCACTTGAACCTGGGAGGCGGAGGCTGCAGTGAGCCAAGATCGCGCCACTGCACTCCAGCCTGGGCAAGAAGAGTGAAACTCCGTCTCAAAAAGAAAAAAGTTAGGATAGAAGATAATCATGCATGTAACAAGCTACAAGAATGTAGCACTTAAAAAACATTTGTAGTACTTATTGGAAATTTCGATTATTTCCCAAATTTTTGCTCTTTAAACAAAAAGAACAAAAATTTGGGAAATATTCTAAATGTCCAATAACGGAGGACTATAGCCTTTAAAAATAATAACTTTAAAACAAAACCCTATCATTCAAAATGATACTGTAAAAGAATATTTGATATTAAATGTTCACAAGGAATTATAAAAGAAAACATAGGCTAAAAAGAGCATGGTAAGTAGATAGGTATTTGTCATATGATTCTTTGTACCTATTTAAATGTTTGACCTATTTCCTGGTAATTTTTTTAAAAACAATTTTTAAGACTATATACAAAATGATGTCACTTTTTATTAAAAATGCTTGTAAGAGGTTTACATATATATGCATATAAAATTAATACTAATATTTTGCCTCCCTACCACCCAGAGATACTCAAAACATTTACAGTAGCTAAAACTAGGTGGCTGTATTACAGTTGATCGTTACTTTTTCTCTTTTTTTGTCCATCTTTTCTAAATTCATACTTCAGGTCAGTCAGTCATTGTTTTCTGGTTCTTTTGACCTATTATCCTCACAGTGTTTTTGATGCCAGAACATTTCAGAGTGCTGCACTTCTCTGTCTGCATAAATAAAACAGTAATTTTATGTCACAGAGAGTTGTCAAATGAGGGTGACATATAGTCAGTGCTTAATAAATACCTGTTGAATGAATACATACATTCAATAAAATTTGTTTTTCAGAATCCATGATAATTAAAATCAGTGAACAATGAAAATAATCAGCAACCCCAGCTATCAACCCACTGAATTTTAGTTGCTGTCAATGTAACACAATTCTAATACAATGAGATCATTTGGAATCTCCTTCAAAGTCACTTAACTGAAAATAGCTTTACATAGAAATATGCCTCTTTAAGATACAAAACATTTCTTTTGCAAATTCTATGAGTTGTTTCCAACTGTAGCCCTATATAGATGGAAATCAATAGTACCTTCATTTTGACAGATGCATCCAAAAGAGAAGCAATATTTTATTTACAGGGATATAAATATGCAATACTTAGAAATGTTCTGGCATCAAAATAATGAGTGAAAATACTCTGAAAATTATAGAGGGTGGGGGGAGGAGGGACCTACCACCACCATTAATTCCTCTCCTAAAAGACAAATGAAATCCTAGACTTTTATTTAACTTTTCCAAAGCCAGAACTGTAGCATGTTCTTGAAATGAGACAAAACTCTGCTCCTTCACTCCTCTGTCCAGGATAAATGCTACAAGTGCTGCACAGTGCTGGACAGGCAGCGCTGTGCCCACAGGTGGACGACCTCCCTTGCTTGAATTTGTCGGGCCCACTAGGGTTCATGCAGTAAAAAGCCTATTCCAGGTAAGGCCATTGTGAATTGCTCTAAACCTCTAAGCGGCAGCGAATCATTTCCTGCTATAAATCTCATCAATCTGGTCTAACCCTTTCATGGCCAGTATCAACAAGCACCCATCATAAACTCTCAAAAGCTGCAAAGAGCTTAAAGGAAAAATTGTGGGAAGCCGCTGCCAGCTGAAGAGTAGGAGGGATCTAAAAAAAACTTCTCTGCTTCTCTTAATCCCCAAATTTCTACAATAGCTGGTGGCATACAGACGAAGAGATAATCATCTCCTAAGCAGTGTTAAAAATCAAAGGGAAGGGAGAGCAGTGTTGCTTCCACCTCTACACGTGATTATAGTTATTTCTCCTGCACTCAGAGAAATCGGCTTCCTCTTTTAAGCAAGGCCAGCTGGTTTTCCAGAGGTGCTCGTTAGAATTTACTGAGCACACACCCACTACTTTGACTTGCATGCTGCACACAAAACTCACCGCTGCATTTGGGTGGGAAAGAGCTAAAAGAAGGGGGCCCTGGCTCAAGGTCTGACAGTCCTAAAAGTGTAGCCTGCAGCAACCCATTGTGGTCACACTGGCGTCTCTGTACAAACCCAGAGCTCCATGCCAGAAACTGCGAAGTCTCACAGGATTCAGAGATGGCTCTGCCTAAAAGGAGAAATTTTTCTAAAAACGACACTCGCCTGTGAGTGGATTTATTTTACAAACACCATTTATTTTACTAACACATGCTATGAAGGCTTTTCTTCTCTAATCCTGATCTACAGAAAGCTGGGTAAGAGTTAAAGGAGAAAGTTCCATGTCTTAAGTTTCTGACTCCCACAACTTCAAGAGATTGGTTTCTGTTAACCATAAAATAAAATTTAGCATTCCTAAAATTGTTTCCATATAACTTATGAATCCTTTCACAGAGAAAATAGGTCTGAAAGCCTTTAAACTGTAACTCCAGACTAAACAAAATTATCTCATTTTGATATTCAGAAAAACGGAAGGCATGGCAGTTAGACGATGCGCTGATGAAGGGCTGCTCCACAGAGCAAAGACGGCTTTCATTTAGCAACGTGCAGCTGCCGACAGGCACAGTGACACCAACACGGGATTCTTTCGCTACATCTCTCAACATGAGACTTCAAGAAAGGAGAAAAGACCTCCTTCATGTTTTCGGAGCATTAGGCTTCTGGTGCAGTTAGGAAATCACTCCACCTTAGCAAGAAATGAGCAAATGCCAAATACCTGTTTATCACACCATTTCTAAGCAATTTCTCTTTACAGCCTTTAAAATTTATCGAGAGTTTTGGTGCAAAACAGAAAAATGGTTAAGTCAGATACCAATGCCGCAAAGGCAACTGCAAGTGGAACAGGGTTGGGGTATCCTGCTAAGGAAACCCCAGAATGCAAGTTTGCTCCTCTTTGCTCACCTGCCTCTGGGCCTCAGCCAAGTTAAAGGGCAGAGTTCCCTCTTCCAGAGGAGCAATCCGTTCAATGTCTGCTAAGGTCATACGTCTGTAGGGGAAAAACAAACACAAGCAACAAATATACCAATTTATTACAATTTACATTATAAAATTTAAAAACATCCCTTTTTTCATTTCTCATATTTCAGTATAGCCTTCAGTTTGGCTTCTTTTTCTCCTGATTGCTGCCCTCCTCCTAACCTCCTTTTATTAAGCTAATTCCAAAAAAAAAAAAAAAAAAGCCAACTTACCCCCTTGGCTCATATAAATCTGCTAACTGAAACAAGATGTCAACTTCCATGGGTGTAACCTGACCAAATTTCTGAGCTGCCAGAACAAACTCCTCTGTATGGAAGAAAAGTTAAAAGGGAAAGATTCAAGAAGAAATAGCCACTAAATTCAGCATTAACTCAAGGCACTGGAATGAGTGAACATCACAAAACTTTATTATTATCATCAGTTGTAGAATTCAAGTCAATCCAAATAAGGTAAGAATTTTTGCAGTTCTTGCATCCATTTGGAAAGCGTGTGCAGAATATGTTCTTGAATATACAGTTTAAAAGCTTGGGGTCATCTGATGTTATTCAAATTGCCAATCAGAGAAAATAAGGAATCATATATGAAACTTCATATGCATAGGTCCCAGGAGGGGAAGTTATATTAATCTAATTAACTGGTTAAATTAGGATTATTAATTATATTAATTTAGGTGGTTATATTAATGAAGGTGTGGAATTCCTAAGGGAATTCTGATTTTTTTTTTTTTTTTTTTTGAGACAGAGTCTTGCTCTGTTGCCCAGGCTGGAGTGCAGTGGTGCAATCTCGGTTCACTACAACCTCCGACTCTTGGGTTCAAGCGATTCCCCTGCCTCAGCCTCCCAAGGAGCTGGAACTACAGGTGTGTGCCACCATGCCCTGCTAATTTTTTTATATATACATTTTTAGTAGAGACGGGGTTTCACCGTGTTAGCCAGGATCGTCTCAATCTCCTGACCTCATGATCTGCCCGCCTCGGCCTCCCAAAGTGCTGGGATTACAGGCATGAGCCACCGCACCGGCTCTGATTTTTTTTCTTAATCCCATTACAATGCTGATAATATCCTGTCCCAAGCCTACAGACCAACTTACACTGTCACCAATGCAACTTTATGGAATTCCTCATATACACCTGAAGGCTTCCTTAGAGGTTGCCAATTTAGCTCAAGCTGTAGCAAGATTTGAAAATATTTAAGAAACTTTACATGTTTTCCTTATTCAAAGGGTGTCTTCAGTTTATTTATTTATTTATTTATTTATTTTTGAGATGGCATTTTGCTCTTGTTGCCCAGGCTGGAGTGCAGTGGCGTGATCTCGGCTCACTGCAACCTTCGCCTCCCAGGTTCAAGCGATTCTTCTGCCTCAGCCTCCCAAGTAGCTGGGATTACAGGTGCCCACCACCACACCCGACTAATGTTTGTATTTTTAGTAGAGACAGGGTTTCACCCTCTTGGCCAGGCTGGTCTCGAACTCCTGATCTCAGGTGATCCACCCACCTCGGCCTCCCAAACTGCTGGGATTTCAGGTGTGAGTCACCAAGCTGGGCCCAGTTTGTTTAAAACTTGGTGAAGATTGTTTTGTTTGCTTTTGTTTGTCTGATCAAAGGATGAAAAACACACGTTATCATATAGTTAATATGTGTCAATGGGATAGAAAAATAATAAAGTACTAGTTGCCTTCTTCACCCTAATAATAATACACCACAATACTTGCAGGCTAGAATTCAGATATATTCTCACTCACCCTTAGTCACTTCAACATCTTTCCTGGTGCCAGCCAGAGTGCTATAGATCTTTCTAATGAGTTCCATGTTGTTAAGGAGCGAATTAAATCCATTAAAATAGGAGAAACTAACTTGATGGGATGTGGTACCTCCAGCAGCCTCAAATAAATTGAAAACAAGAGAGAAGAAAAATATACAAAAGATTTATAGATGATTCAGAAGTACATACATCTAAAACTAGTTTGAAAGTAATCAAAAATGCATGTACAAGAAGAAATGACTATAAGTATTTTTCTTTTGCATTAAAAAAAAGCTATAAATGATTTTTAGAAGCAACTGCAACTAATCATGACCAGAACTTGTACTCTCCATACACAACTCCTAGAAAACTAAATAAATACATGTGTAGGATTATAACAGGACTAGTAGTAATTTAGAGTTCAAATTTCAATTGGAAATGTTTTATAAGTTGGTTTATTTCATCTAATGAGCAAATCTTAAAGGCTTAAACATGCAAAAACTATAAGTACATATGCACACATGTGTGTGCTTATGCATGAAAAACTGTATTGTATCAATGCAAACATACTATGAAAAGTAGTCAATGTAACATTAATATCAAGACTTGTCAAGTTACTTATAACCAGTAATAAATAATCATTTAGGTACAGACTTTACATTGGTGGGATTTCTAGCAAACAAGCATATTATGGTAAAATTATGAGATGCCATATACTTTCATGGGGGGTTAAGACTAGTAAAAATTCTGATAATCAGAATTTTTAAGAAACCATATTTCTTCACAGGGGACAAGGGAAACAGACAGAATGTCCATTATGAATGAGACTTCAGTTTGGAGTTTCAAATTCTATCCTTCCCTAGCAAGGCAAAATATTTTTATTAGGAAAGCACTTCTTTACAAGGTAACAACCACATAAATCTTCACTTAGTAATCATTTAAAATAGCTGACATGAAAGTTTAGTATGGAGTAGAGAAGGGGGCGCCCAAGAAAAGGAGTTAGATTAACACAGTGCCAGAATGGAAGAGGCCTCGTTGGAATACCATGTCTCTAGAACTAAGGACTTGGGGGAAGAAAGGAAACTGAAAGGCTACTCTGAGTTCCTGCCTATGGTAAGCACTGTGGGAAACCCAGATGATGGTGAAAACAGTATTCTCCCTGGGATTAACAAAAGGAGAGTTACCACGGGCTATTGGTCCTAAAACTGAGTTATTACCAAAATCACCCAGAAGCTTTACAAAATTAGATTCTAAGACCTCATCGCCTATAGATGGTGTATGATAGGCCTAGAAGAGATCTCAGAATCTGTAGTTTTAATAGTTTTTAGTGGTGATTCTGGTGCTCCACGAGCAGGTCTTAAGAACCACCACCACAGAATGTTGCAGGACATCCCCAGGGCCCATGAGGGAAGGACAGCAGCTGACACCTGGAGGAGGGAGGCTCCATGAAACACAACTGCAGGGCTCTGCTGTCACATGTAACTCTGTGGCCTCGACACATACACGGTGAAAGGGAATCTAAGGTTTGGAGTTTCTGTTGTGCTAACTACTCTAACAAATGATATACATGTGCACTATTTTTTTTTTTTTTTTGCCTTAGAGCATCTAAGAAGATTAGCAAAAATCAGCCCTTGATATACTTCAAAATCTAAAACAAAATTAACATGAGATCACAAATCTGTTTTTCCTTTTATCTTTAAAAAGCTAATGTATTTCTCGAAGATATTCCGTATTACCCAGACAACAAATTAACCTACCCACTAAAACTAGCCAAAACACACTCTTTGTTTGAGTTTAGTAATGTATGTGATCACATTAAAATGTTAGTGTTTGCAACAGAAAAAAAACACTACATAACTTATAAGAATTGTTTTTATAATTCCTTATTTACTGAGTTAAACCACTTCATTAGGGCAAGTTACAACTTACAGCTACTAGACATTCTTCTACAAAAGGAGTCAAGACATGGGGGCGGATGGTGACCATGATGTCTCGGAAGTCGATGGCTGTGACTCTCCCAGTCCTAGCATTGTCCCGTTGCACAAAGGCTTGCTTTGCGTGCTCCAGTTGTATTTCCTACAAATAAAGAAAGTAAAATACTTAATTTATGCTTCTCATTTAATAATTACTACAAATGACAGTTCATTTTAAAATCAGACTGAAGAAAGAGAGTTTACATCTTGATCTAACAAGCCCTCATCTGCCTAATAGCACCACCAAGCTACTGTCTCCTTCCAAGAGACAGAACTTTGCTCAGACCAATGAACATGTCTTGAGAAAGTGCACTCTACCTTACTCTGCTACCCAATGAAACCCAATTACTTCCGTGCTCTCTAGAGTCCATGAACACAAAGAAAATGAAAACCGGAATGAAGTGTTGTAGGTTCAAAGATCTGGCCAACCCCAGCTTAGGTGATGCAGATGATCTGAGGAAAAACACTGCCAGGGACTTTAACTTCTCTCCAAAGAAAAGAGAAAAATTCTTAACTGCAACCTGGTACCCAAACACATGATGTAACAATAGATAGAAAAGAGTGGTGGTTCTTCTCTGCTATTTCTCCAACACAGGGTTTCTCAGCCTTGCCATTATTGGCATTTTGGACAGGGTAAGTCTTTATTACGGGAGGGCTGTCGTGTGTACCCCTATTCTCTTCCCACTAGATACAAGTAGCCCCTTCCCTCTAAGGTCATAACAATCAAAAATGTCTCTGCATAGAGCCATATGTCTTGATTAAGGACTACTGCTCTAAGTAGTTGCATGGTATGTGGATCAGGGGAGGTAAACCTGTCATGGTATCATTGCATATGTTTAATTAAAATGATCTGAAGACAGAAAGTCCAATCACAGAGCTCTGTTGCTATTCCCAGGGGATAAGTGTGTACACAAAAGAAAACAGCCTCCCATCAAAACTCACTGTGCACTATATGGAAGGAACATTCCTCCTGCAGAGAGCATTTTATTATCTTCCTCACAACACTCTGCTCATTTCCCAAACAGGGCCCTTGCAGTGACAGCTAACTTCTATGCAATTAAAAAGTAACACCAGCCAGACACAGTAGCTCATGCCTGTAATCCCAACACTTGAGGAGGCTGAGGTGGATGGATCCCTTGAGCCCAGTAGTTCCAGGCCAGCCTGGGCCACATGGCAAAACCCCATCTCTACAAAAAAAAAAAAAAAAAGAAATTTGCCAGGCATGGAGGTGCATGCCTGTAGTCCCAGCTACTTGGGAGACTGGGGTGAGAGGATCACCTGAGCCTGGGGAGGAGGAGGTTGCAGTGAGCTGAGATCATGCCGCCACACTCCAGCCTGGGTGACAGAGTGAAACCTTGTCTCAAAAAAAAAAAAAAAAAAAAAAAAAGGAACACCAACAGGGCTCTCAAAAACTTCAAATTATTTGAATATAATGGAGTTTTTTTAGACGATATTAAGAAATTAATTTTTAATTTTAGTGAGATAATGACATCGTATTTATTCAAGTTATGTAAAAAATAATTGTCCTTATGAATTTGTGCAAACTAAAGTGTAAGGGAAATGACATGAGTCTGATACTGCTTTAAAGTACTCGATCTTCCTTTCCTTCCCCAGAAAGGCAGGGAGATGAAAGAAGAAATACAGTATTTGCAATAACGGAAGCCAAATAGCAGTTGCATGATGGGTCATTATAGTCTTCTACTTTTGCAGTTTGAAAATGTCTACATTTAAAATATTTTAAAGATAAGACATTTAATAGTAAGAATCAGAGTTCTTATCCTATTTAAAAGAATCTCCTCATTTGTAGCCATCTGCCAGTTTCGAACCAGCCTGCCTCAGCTGAAACTCTCTTCTGGGATCCCAGTCTTTCTGGAGCCTCCACCACTGGCTCCTTAAATGGGAAGCATCTGTTGGCCCTCTGTCCTCACATCTTCTCACTCTACTCTCCTAGACAGAGTGCTCTCTCTCTTAAGCCCTCAAGGATTTCTTAAAAGCTAAGGCTTAACTCCCATATTCAAGTCTCATTCCTTTCTGCTGGACCAGAATTTCTGTTTAGAGAATATATCCACGTGGGTATCGTGTAAAGGCCATAAAATGACACATCGCTAACCCCATATTGTAGATCCCCCAACCCAGTGCTCAAACCTGGTCTCTCTTCTATGTTCACAGCTTAATTATTAGGCATGTAGTTTTATTGGCCACCTCACCTAGAAAGCTGTCATTCTGAATTGTTCAAGCTTCCTTTCTCCCAGAGTAAACCAGTTACCAAATTCTGTCCCTTAGGCCTTTGAAAGTTTGCCCAAATGCACCTTTTCCTTTTTGTTCCTGATGCTACTGGTTCAGACTTTCCTCAGACCTCATCTAAATTATCACTGAGAGTCAGTGGTTCTGACTGTCAGTCTGGAGCTTGGGCTTGCAGTCTGGACCTCTGTGGTCTACCATGCACACATAAAAAGTTGCTTTTCAGAATTAAAAACCTGACTCCCTCCCCCTCCATGGAAATCTCCAATGACCCTTCATCATACAGACCCGTCTCTGAAGCAAGGCATACAAGCCCCCAGAGGAACTAGTCTTAGCCTCATCTCCTATCACCCATGCCCACCCCTGCCAGACCTGCCACACACCTGGGCTTTTGCCCACATCGTTACTTCCACCTAGTGTAGACTGCTGCCCCTTTCTCCAGCTCCTGAAATCCTGCCACTTCCTTTAAGCTTAGCTCAAATGGTACCACTTAGGCAAATATAACCAGGCCTTATAACTGGAAATAACTGATGTCCCTTCCGGTGGCCCCCTGTCTGAATATCAATTATAAAACTTGTCTTATTTGATCTTACATCATAATCAGTTATTCACATTCCTGCCTTTACACCTACCTTACCAAGGAAAAGACAGTATAACCTTTTGAAGTCCTGTAAGCATCTACTTACATTTATACATGCAGCTCAGCAGAATGCTTTAGATGTATAGTAGGTGCTCAATAAATGACAGGCATTCTCATCAGTGAAAAGTATTCTGTAAAACCAACTGAATGAACAAATCGTGAGCTATTGAACAATGGGAGGTTCTCTATATGAGTGCTTCCAATTAAGGAAGAAGAAATCAACTGTTAAACACCCTGTAGTGAAAAATGACCACAGTGCGTATTCAATTGAAAGTAAATGAACAGTCTCCTTTGAATTACCAGACCCATTGCTAAAGCTAGCTAAGCCAAGACTACTCTCAACAATAGTAGAAGGTATGTTCAGCGATTTACCATTTTCCCTAGTTTATAACTCAACATCTTAGAGATCCTCAGACAATTATACCAAAAATGGCACCGCTTTCTCTGGCAACCCCATCTCCTCAGAAAGCAGGAAGCCACAATGCTAAGACCAGCCTGTCCAGAATTCCAGATTGGGAATGGATGCCAAGGTGGGGGCTGGTGCTCACATAGCAGGACAGGGGACATACCTGTGATTAGGACAGTGTTACAACACATCCTGTGCCCACGCTTCCATGATTAAACATCTATGAGCAGGGACCCCTCAAGTTGGAGTAAGAAAGTTATTTTAAGTCTGATGATGAACAACCTGAGAATACATTTCCAACAGCTCTTAAAGATTGGGGGCATTATAAGTTCCACAGAAGACAAAATGCTAGATCTATGTAGTTCTCTAAATAGCAGGACAGAGTGAAAACACGCAGTTAGGTGGCTCTCCAACTTTAAAAGCAGCATTCTGAAGACGTGGGTTGCCTTCTGAAGATCATCTGTTTATGTCGTGACTGTTTCTCCTTCCGGGTGAAGAAATGAAACCATGACCTCAACCAGTATGACAACCATGCAATAGCACTTAGCAAGCATGTATTATGCAGCAGGCACTGCTGTAAAGCATTTTACAGGAATTAATTCATGGAATGCTTACTGCAAGCCTATAAGGTAGGTACTATTATTAACCTCACTATAGCAGTTGAGCAAACTAAAGTCTCACTGACAGGAAGCAGTAAAGCTGGAATTCAAGCCTCAGCATTTCTACTCCCCAGCCCTCTATCTACCCATGCTCCTAATACTTCACTCAACTGCATGGGGAACCTCAGACAAAGCTACTGTCAGGAATTTGATTAAAAAATAAATTTGACACTAAGAAATCTTAACAGCTGTGGAAAGATAAAAACTCAATTTGCATTTAATGCTCTAGATTTTACTGTTGCCTATTTTTGTGGAAAAATAATAAAATTCCCTAAAGTTTTCCATTAAGGCAAAGGGCTTCTGTACACCCAGAGCATCAGGATTGTTTTACCAATAGTAGCAGAGACCAAGGAGGAGAGAAACCAAATCTAAAAGGCCTTCTCCTGGCCTCACTCCCTTTTTGCTCTCTTTCCCATAGCCCCAAGAGACAAAGGAGGAAAAAATTAAATCAGGAGGCCAGTGGGAGCTAACACATAGGTTACTCCGTAAATATGAAAGAAATGTGTGGTCTTTGAAATAAATGACTAGGCTCACTACTCATGGCAGAATGACTTAAAATCAAAGCTCCTGGTTTGCACCTCAAAAGCTATTTAATGAAAATCTGAATGTATACTATGGGTTGTCAAGAGACTGACAGCTCCTAGATCTCAACTCAGAAGGGATAAAACAGAGACAGAGAGCTTTTAGTATGCATGAAATATAGCATATACAAAATAGTATTTATTTCTAAAATGAAGGGGATCAGAAGTAAACGAGTCATCTGTGCAGAGGAGGGGAGAACAATATGGGCAGTAATCATTACATTCACATATTTAAAAGTTAAAAGACTATCAAGTAAAAAAAATATTAGGCTGCCCCTCTATTTCTTTTGAAAAAATGGAGAGATGCTATAGGGGTCAGAGTTTAGCACAGTACACAGAAGAAGTCTTTAACCTATAGAACTATTCAGCAGTAAAATGGGCTACCTTGAAAAGTAGCAGGTTCCCTGACACCAGAAATACGTGTTCAACCATAGGCTGAGGAACACATGTCAAGAATTTAACCTTATCTTTAATAGAGGGAGTTATGGAAGCCATACATTATGATGACAATAAGAAATCTGGAACAGGCATGGGTAGAGCGTAAACAGAAGTCATGACACTGCCACCCGGGAGAGCTCAGGTGATTGTTTGCATCTTAGAGCCTCAGATTTTCTTCTACAGAATAGGCACAACACCACCTACTGTGCAGGGTTGTAAAAACCAGAGGTCATGAATGACAGGCATTTAAAAAACAGTGGCTTTGATTTTTGTCCAGGTGAAAGGTTTAAAAACCTCTAAAGTCTCTTGCAATATGAAACAGTGGTTCTGCTCAATCATTCTGAACTAGCCACAGGAACGGAAAAATGAACATCAGCCAGGATGGAGGATAACAAAAGCTGAATGCTTCAACACTCACTACAGACCAGGGGCTATGCCAAGAACTTCAAAGACAGCATTTCACTTAAGCCTCACAATACTTCTGTGAAGTAATGATTATTATCTTCATTTTACACAGAGGCACCTGAAGTTCAGAGAGGTCAGGTAACTAGCCTAAAGTCACACAACTAAAAAGTGGAAGAGTTAAGATCCAAAGCAAGGGATGTCAGCTTTTAAAACTGAGATTCTTAACTACTAACTTATGCTGCCTCAGGCAAAATCATAAATAAGGGGGTCATAACTAGATTTGGACAGGTAGGAAAAGAGACTTTAAGAAAATTTTGATGATGATTTGAATATATAAATGAAGTAAGATATATCTCAAAAATCCACATTTTGAATGATGGGGAAGATACTCTACCACAAAGGAAAATACTTAAGGGGAAAGAGATGAGGTGGTTGACCATGATGAAAAACCTGGAATGAAGTGAGTTTCAGTTATAAACAAAAAGTTAAGAGGCACACAAAAGAAAGCTGAAGGTACAGGTAGAAATACAGATCTGGGAAATTCAGATAACAGGATTTTAGAGAAAACATCACAAGGAGAACGTTTACTAAGTTATTAAGTGCATGCTATGTCCCAGGGACTGTTGTGTTTTCCCTGCTTCATCTCTTTGAATCCTCTCCACAACCGAGGTGGTCCTACCATCACCTCTGTTCTGAAGATGGAAAAATGAGGTAAGAATGAGCCAAGGGTGACACGGGCAAGGATGAAACTGAATATGCATCCAGGCAGTCGGCTTCTGGAGCCATGATGTTAGCCTACACAGACTGCCTGTTCCTTTTAGAGGGGACCTACCAAAAACCAGATGAAGAAAAAGATGATTGTAGAAATGGGTGAGATCATCCCACAGTGCATACAAAGAGCAGGCAGACAACAAAAATCAAACTGATACCTAAATAAGTGAATAAAGAAAATAAGACACAGGGCCTGAAACCTTGTAGCAAATCCAGAGAGCTGAGAAAATGAAGTGTCTCTCTAAAGAGAGCTCTTAACAGTACCAGGCAATGGGTGCTTACTAAATGCTGCTGCCGAAGACAGTTACCAACTGAAGACAAATGGCCCTTCCTATCACCTAAGGCCAGAAGGTCCAAGAGCAGGAGTTCTGCAGCTATCTCTAAGGCAGTTCCACTCAAGTACATGAAAGGAGGCCCAATTTCTCTTTAATATGTGCCAGTGAACTATTTTCTGTTCCCTCTATTCTGGTGCATGATGATTAATGCAACAGGCTTTTATTGCAGCAGTTTCCAACTACTTCAACACACCCATTCAGACTGCTGTAGAAAAAAAAAATCAAACTCTTCAAAATTGCTAGTTGTACAGAATAAACATATATAGGGGTTACACTACTTTAGGTCTAACATTCGTGCTTCTAATAGTTCCAGGCCTGTCATTTCCTTAATAATCTCCAATTTTCAGGTAGGTATATTTTGAATATAAAATATTCTCTCCATCTCTATTCAGACATGCAAGTTTGTGCTTTAGCCTGAGAACAATTTATCAGGAACAACAACAACAATGACAACAAAAACCCAAAAAACCCAGTCCCTCAAAACAAGCAGGAGAGCCAGGTGATTTATATTATAAAGCCAAAAATGCCAAAAAATAAATATATATATTTTTTGAACCCTGGTTAATTTGCATTTTTGTGTTTTGAAATTTTAACAAAATCTAAAATATTAATAAAAGCAAAGAGTTAATAAGGAAATGATTCAAAATAATTCCTTTTTAGACATGGTAATAGAAGAATTCTGGGCAAAATGCAGCTAATTGTTTATCGAAACAGGAAACAAAAATGTAGAAAGACGATTTGCCTAAAAAATACCATATCACATTTAGCCCAAACAATTTCTATATTACATCACATATCAGTACCTGTATACTGGTTTGCATATAAATATCCACTTTATTTTCATAATCTATGCTAATTTGAAGAAAAACATTCTAATTAAAATGAAGATCCACATATTTTTTAACAAAGTAAAAATGAAACATAGCAATAAAATAGGTAGAGAGATAAGTAGTTACCATTCTTAATTTTGTTCTATGTGTACCTCCCCCCACCCCCCATTTGGCCATGCAGTCAGTGTCAGAGTTGAGGGTGAAATTCCATCCCCAATTCACTGGGTGAGGCCTTTAATTAAAAGGGTCTTTGGAAGCAGTGTCACATGTGGCTCAGCATGCACTGCAACACCTTGGCAGAAACCAAATACAGAGCTTTTCCATCTCAATTTCCTTGCTCTTCTAATTTAACGTTAAACTTCACAGTGGGTAACAGCTGGGGAGATGCTGTATAGAGTGTTCATTTTTACCAGGATGCTACTGTAAAAACCCTGCACAACAGGCTGCTCAACAAAACAGCAAGCTAACACCACAAACACAACAGCACAATGAATCCTGATTTTCTTTGCCCAGAGAGTAGAAAGTGTGTGCTGTGGCTGGAACGTGTCCTGCATCTTACTGTCCAAGTGATCACATCTCTAGTTACTCATCACCAAACTAGCAATGGCTTCCATTTGGACACAAAACAGAATCTCATCTAGTGGAAGAGTTGAAGGCAAACAACACTAATGTGCTCTACTCACTAGTTCATTTGAGAACACCAAATGATGCTGTTTATGAAACAATACCAAAGCTACATCACAGACCCCACCTGATACAACTTAGAATCAACATAAAAGGCATTCACATAGTGAAAATGAAAATACAACTGGGTTCTTGGGCCACTAAAAATTCATGGTCGGGCTGGGCACGGTGGCTCATGCCTGTAATCTCAGCACTTTGGGAGGGTGAGGCGAGTGGATTGCTTGAGGTCAGGAGTTCAAGACCAGTCTGACCAACATGGTGAAACCCCATCTCTACTAAAAATACAAAAAATTAGCTGGGCATGGGGTTGGGCAGCCTGTAATCCCACCTACTCCAGAGGCTGAGGCAGGAGAATCACTTGAACCTGGGAGGTGGAGGTTGTAGTGAGCCAAGAGCACGCCATTGCACTCCAGCCTGGGTGACAGAGTGAGACTCTGTCTCAAAAAAAAAAAAAAAAATTCATGGTCTAGATACTTTCACTAATACAAACAAGACAAGTTGGGGGACAAAAGGGAGAGGCAAATGGCTCAGATTACTCAAACCTAAACCTAAGCAAGGACCTTGTTAATTGTCCACTCATCTGTAAAGAATTACGGCTTCAGCCAGTTCTACTACAAGCGATTATTTTTTATGAACACATGAAATCGCTTATTAATTCTAAAGCTAGAAAATTTGGGGTTGCCATGGATGAAGGTATGTTTTGTTTGGTGGTGGTTGGGCGGGGGTAGTAGCAATTTTGTTTTTAACACCTATAGCCTCTTGTGTTGAAATTGTTGCCTTACACCAGGATGCTATGACAAATAGAGTCGCAAACCGTAACTGATGGTGAGAAAAAGCCAGGACCACATCTGACCAGCAGCAGTGAATCTCTGGCTTGTAGAGGGACATTGGCAACTACCGTCACCCGGGAGCAGCAGACTTCTAGAGTTCTACTCTCTAGGGCTCAGGATCTAAATAACCAAAATGTTCATGTTACACAGAAAAGAAGTAGGCTGACCTCTACACTGTGCTGACCAAGAAGCCAAAATAATGGTCAATCTGCTTTCTTAAAAAGAACCAAAATTGTTCAGTTGCATTACTAGCATGGGTATGCTTTGGCATCCAACCAGGTTATCACGGGACTCGTGATCTGAGGACAAGGATCCTTACTAATATGAATGACCAGTCTGGGATGCCAGACACAGCTTTGATCCCCAGGTTCTATTCCTAGCTCTATTTACTACAATTCATGTCTTTGGGTTTCATCATCCTCTTCTGACAAAATGAGGACCAGAGTAAAACTATGATAAAATACTCAAGCCCTTGTGATTAGAGCTCTCTGTTGGGTCAGGTGACCTCATTCTTAAACTCTATTTGATGAGAAGCCATTAGATAGGATTTTTAGCCTCATTCCCTCTCAGGTCAGCTATCCTGTCTCTTAGCTAGCCAGTGGAATGGAATCCACAACCTCAAAATCAGGCCTCTCCACAATTCAGAGCATTGCAATTTCTGGATGATGCTTTTAGAGCAATAGCTGGATGACCCCTGGAAACAGAAGAAATTTCCTGGCGACATAAAGTGCAGAACAAAATTCCTTCAAAAAACCCAACTATACAGGGGCCGTAGGTAGGGTCCTACAGTAAATCATCTCAACACCAAAGAATTGAAAAGAGGCAGCAGAGCCAATACACCAACACACGTGAACAGCTCTTACATATAAAGCACTACTCTGTAGCCCCTCCTTAAAACCTCCTCTTCTTCTTGTACTCCCTATTTCAATGAAACACCACCATCCTCCCACTAGCCCAAGGCTAAAACCCAAGAGTCAACCTTGAGTTCTGCAAATCTATGACTGTCCCCTTCCCATTAAATCATGAAGCTTTGTCTGGCCTATCCCTGTAAGTTCTCTTGACTCCATTTACTCTGGCCCATCACTGTTACCATCCAACTGAGACCACAGTTGTTTGACTCTTGGCTTAAAAAGCAACCAACCGGTCTCCCTCTCCTTGGTCACGTTCCTCTCCATTAGATTTACCACACAATAGTAGAGTGATCCTTCTGAAGCACAAATCTTATGAGGTTTGCCTCGACAGACTTCCCATTAGTCTTAGGATAAAGAGCCGTTTACCTTTACACATTCAGGGTTGCCTAGTCCAGACCAAAGTTTGCCAAAATGTGGTTCCTGAACCATCCAGAGCATCGCAATTTAGGATGCTTATTGGAAAGGCAGCTTCTTAGGCCCTATTCAGAACTACTAAATTTGAGTCTTGGGAGGGGAGGTCGGTGGAGAGGCCTGGGACTCTGCATTTCTAAATACGCATCTCAGATAATTTTTACACTAAAATTTGGGGGGTAAAAACTGCCAGAGATTTAGAAAAATTAATTTCAACTTCAAATCCACCTGTCTAATCTTGAACAAATCCAGAAAACTTCTTTAGGCTTCTGTTCACTCAGCTTTCATAGGGAAACAACACCAACAACCTAAGGTGACTGTAAGGACAAATATTAATACAAGAACTTTCTTAGCTAGAAAATGCTATATGAGAGGTAGCTAATAACAATGTTGTTCTAGTTAACAGAAATATTGAATTTTGTAGTAATCCTAGACTTTTCTATCCTGAGATTGGAACCAGTGGAAACTCCTATGTGTAGACTGTTTTCAAATTAAAGTAATTACATGTAAAATAGATACCCAAGATTATAAAACAGTATCAAACAAAAAAACCTGGAAATGACAGTACAATGCACCCCTAAGAACTTGTTGATGATCGCATCTGGCAATTAATGGGTAGGGGTCAGGAATGCTAGATGTTTAGCAATGCATGACTGGGCACTGCCATTCAGATGCATGGTAACTTCTAGGAACAGAAAATAGCTGTCTATAGCCTTAGATCTGGAGAAAGTGCAACAGAGTGGGAACGGCATCGTATTCTTGAATTTGTCACACACCTGTCATCTGACTGCAGAAGCTAAGCTCTAGAACAGCTGCTCTTTACCACCCTTTTGGGATACTTCTTTGGAAACATAATGAAAGCTATGGGCCATTTCCCTGGAAAATTACTGGTAAATGCAAAATTTTACCATAGAGTAGGTTTATTCTTTTGCATACAATATGTGATAATGATAATCACCTTTTAGGTTATTGGGAGGATGCTATTATCAGAAATAATATTTAAAAGCACTTTGTAAATTATAAACATTATACAGATATTAGTTATTGTAACTTTTTTGAAAGTGACTCAGTACTGACTACACAATAATTTGGTAGAAAAGTTTTAGAAACCTTTCATTCTGTGCCCCCAAGTGCCTACGACAGTCACCCAATAAAAAAATTGGCAAAGCAGGCTGGGCACGGTGGCTCATGCCTGTAATCCCAGCACTTTGAGAGGCCAAGGCGGGTGGATCACTTGAGCCCTGGCATTCAAAGTTGTAGCGAGCGCTAATGCACCACTGCACTCTAGCCTGGGTAACAGAGTGAGACCCTGTCTCAAAAACAAAAAAAAGAAAGAAAAGAAAAAGGAAAAAAAAATTTGGCAAAGGATGTGAATACCTGCCATTAGGGTTTATGCCACAAACCTTTAAGGGTTTTTGCTACAAAACAACAAACTCATAGGGCAAACATTTTATACTTACTTGTAGTTGCTCCTTTTGCACTGTCAGGTGGATATACCCAGATACAAGTCCTAGATTTTTACATTATGAGTGTCTCAAGATTATAGTCTCTGCACCTTTCAAACCTTTGCAAAATCCTATTGACAAACCCGACATGCTCAGCAAATATTTGCTGAATTGGATGGTTTGCCCGACATGAGTAATCATCATGACACACAAAAAATACCGAGTTTTAGGTTAATACTATTTATTTATTTATTTTTTTGAGACAGGGTCTTGCTCTGTTGCTCAGGCTGGAATGCAGTGGCCTGATCTCAGCTCACTGCAACCTCTGCCTCCTGGGTTCAGCGATTCTCCTGCCTCAGCCTCCCGAGTAGCTGGGATTACAGGTGCACGCCACTATGTCCAGCTAATTTTTTTGTATTTTTGGTAGAGATGGGGTTTCACCATGTTGGCCAGGATGGTCTCGAACTCCTGACCTCATGATCCACCCGCCTCGGCCTCCCAAAGTACTGGGATTACAGGCGTGAGCCACCACGCCCAGCCCATTAATACTATTTATCAATTACAGTTCCATCAGATTAGAATAGAAAAATTTCTCCAAATTATTTTCTAAAATACAAAGAATATTAAAATCTATTTTAAAACTAGCGGCTATAAAATTAGAGGCTTTGCTCTAGGAGCTGGGAGTAGACATACGTGGAGAGGTTTACAGAATATTTTAAAATACACATACCTACCCACATATACAACTGTATTCACATTCACACATACCATCATTCATGAAGTTATATGGAGATGAAGTTAACTGGGCATTAAAAAATAGCAGCAACAGATGTAACAGTATAAATAATGGGGTAAGAGAAATGTGACCCCACTCCCTGCTGAAATCTTTCCATTCCAATGAGGAAGAAGACTACAGGAAGGAGGCTTTGTATCCCTGCCACTTGCTTCAATGTTACTAGATGCAAAGTTCAAATCAGTCAAGTTTAGCTCAAATAATATCGAATTGATTTACCACTTGCAAAGTACAAATCAGTCAAGTTTAGCTCAAATAATATCAAATTGATTCACCACTTTATGACTTTTACAACCAAAGCACAGAAAAGGACATAGCAACTCACCATGTAAGCAATGCCCAGGACTGCCAACACCTTAGTGGGTGGGGACCTGTCCAGACTCTACACAGATAAACACATGACCCAAGTAAGATCCTCACAGCCACATGGTGGTTTCTAAGAAGCTCACACTTGCTTAGATATAGTAAAACATTTATTAAGTGACAAAAAAAAAAAAAGGAACTGCAGAGAACTGCACTGCCCCACCAATCACACACATGTATATACATACATAATAAGCACAGGTAATGTGCTGGCCGGAACCAACCTGAGCTATCTTCTAGGGACCCTCAGTGGAATAGAGGAGTGCTGTCTCTACATGCCATACAAGTTCCCTGAAATCACAAGCACTTTTTGGCTGTCCCTACGGCTGCTCCCCTTCCTCATCATGTGACAGGTAGCAGCATGCACAGTGGCAGCTTGTTCACATTTCAAGCAACCAAGCATCTGCCTTCACAGCTTTGGCATCAGCCAGGGAGTTGGTGCCTATTTCTGAGTCCTGCCCAAGAACAGAAAGGCGGATACCTGCCTGACAAAGCAAGAGCCTGAAACACAGCAGATTAAATTCACTAATATCTTTAAGAAGTTACCTGTATCCAGAAAGAGCCCAAAGGAAGCAAACAAAGCATCTGAAGTAGAGGTCTGAAGCTCTACCTACATTCAGAAAAGAGTTCAAATGAAGCAAACAAAACATGAAATGGAAGGAAGGAAGAAACCCAATGGTAGACATTAAAACTGGCATTCAGGTAAAGCCTATCATGGTCCATCCATTAATTCCTATAAGTCCGGATCTGGACTAGGACACAAAAGCAAGGCCCTGACTGAGATCATTCACCACTATAACCATTGTAATCTAGTAAAAGTTCAGTACTTCTATTCTGGCTACAGAGGCAAAATCATCCCACATAGGACACTGTGGGATGTTTCCATTTACCATTATAAGTCAAATTTAAGTGAATGCCTTACAAATTGTTTGGAAACATAACCATAGTCCCTGAGTTATTTAATCCTGGACTCTGGCTTCCCCATATCTGGAGGAAGGCCCAGAGGCTGCTGTGAGCAGTTGAAAATCTACTCAATTCAGTATAATTGACACTTGCTTAGAGGAGGAAACACGATCATCCTTACTACTGCTAACATCCCATTAAAACTAAAAGTTAATTAGGCTGTGTTCCATAAAGTCAATTTGAGGCATTTGTCTCAATAACATTATTGTCATTATTCCTCATCAAAATGAATACCGCCTCCTACAGCACAACAATGTCCTGTGGAAACAGCAGCAAAAATCCGGCAACTCACATTACATTCTCCATCTGAGTTACGTAAGTAGGTTTATGTTTACAGAGAACTGAAAACAGGGATTCACAGACATTAACGCTTTGTTTTTAAAAAATACAAAGGCAGGTTTAGGGCATCTTGTTTATGTTTCCAAAGGCCTGGAAAATAAAAGCAAACTAGACAGCAGGACAAATTATATGAATCATAATAATACCATGAAAATTCAAAAAGAGAAGTACCTATTGAAGTTAACCTATCACAAATGCTAGTTGCTAAGAATGGACACCACAAAATCTTTACCAAGTGAGCACCACAACCCGTGCACCCTCCACCTCTACCCAGAACAGGATTCCAACCACTCCCCAGAGGGCTCTGGCAAGGTCTGGAACACACGAAAAAGCCAGGGGCACCAGGATACCCACTAAGGACATTTCTAGTAACAAAGAATTGAAAATTTTCCTCAAGACCCAAAATGTAAACATACCAAATGAGTCCCCTTACATGAGTCTTTTTAAACATATTTAATAAAGTATAAATAAAATGTAACTGTTAGAAACAAAGCAAATGCATAAACATCTATATAGCCTATAGATATTGACCTCTAGTGACTACATGATAATGTTGTATTTAAAGTATTTTTAAATAATGCTGCTGAAGGAAAACTAAGTTATAATCATATTTTGTGAATACTCTTCTCCTTGCATCATCAGTGGCCCAATGATATGATCATATGGGTGGGGGAAGGGGGTCACGAGAGAAGGGCAGCAGGGACTGGGTTAGGGAAAGTGCACCCCAGAAATGTAGACAACTGCTACAGCGGTTAACCCACATAAGAAAGTGCGCAAGTGCCCTTAGCACACTGGTTCTCCATGAGGGCCACCCAAGAAGCTTTAAATAGCCCTCAAATACCCAGGCTTCCCCCCTGCCCCCATTAAATCTAATCTCTAGAGGTGGGACTGAGGCAACATTAGTTTTTAAAGCTTCCAGGTGATTCCAACATGCAGCCAAGTTTGAGACTAGTGTCTTATCTATAAAAGGTGTCAGATGAAATGATTCTGAAGCTGAAGACAAATCTGTCCATTTCCAGGGGAAAACAAAATATTGGTAAGTAGTAACACAGCGAGTCACAAGCCAAAATTTTAAGTTGTAATTTTGCCCCTCCTGATCTAAGTGACCTTGAGAAAATCACTTGATTTCCCGGGGCCTCAATGTGTATTCCTTCTAAACATGGAGGAGTTCTACATAAATCTGTGGAAATCCCATTTAATTCTATGATTTCAACATATTAATAAAGAAATACTTCTCAATGGGACAGTTTTGCCAGGCTAAACTGTAGTAAGTATGTAGTAAGTAAATCACAGTATGTAGTAAGTAAATCACAGTTCAAGACTCCAATCAGGACTTTTACACACAATTTGATTCCAGGTTTACTTATTTACCCTTTTAACTTTTTTTTTTTTTTTTTTGAGACGGAGTCTCGCTCTTTCACCCAGGCCGGACTGCAGTGGTGCGATCTCAGCTCACTGCAAGCTCCACCTCCCAAGTTCACACCATTCTCCTGCCTCAGCCTCCCAAGTAGCTGGGACCACAGGCGCCGGCCACCACGCCTGGCTAATTTTTTGTATTTTTAGTAGAGACGGGGTTTCACCATGTTGGCCAGGATGGTCTCGATCTCCTGACCTCGTCATCCGCCCACCTCGGCCTCCCAAAGTGCTAGGATTATAGGTGTGAGCCACCGTGCCCGGCCATACCCTTTTAACTTTTTAAGAGCTAGACCCACCAATAAAAACTGAGTAAATTCCGCATATGTCAGGTGTCTTTTTCTTTCTTTTCCAAAATGTAGTTGCACAAATTCTGAATCCCAGTTAAATGGAATATGTTGATGAATTGTGGTCTGTCCAAAAACTTGCTTAACATCCTCTGAAAAGAGAAAAGACAGGTTGATTAAAACAAAGTAAATGAAGTTCTTTCTGATAAAATCTGTTATTGAATGGATATCGCTTTTTCTTATTAAAAAAAGTAATTCAATTTTAAATAGACATACAGATTACAAACTATGGCAGAAATAAAAGAACCCTCAAGGAATCAGTTAAGAAATCAAGGTCAAGAATCCCACCAAATAAAATAAAGGGGGGGAAAATCAAGAAGTCTCTCACACACACACAACCTAAAGGCTGTAGGAAACCCAAGTAGAAAGCTAAAACTATTATCATCTCATTTGTTTTTGTTTCAAGAAATAATGATTATTTTCTAGGTACAGAGGACAGAATTCAATCTTAGTGGCAGGAAAACACATACACACACACACACACACACACACACACACACGATACAAGCGTTACATATAGCCTTTAACAAGTTATTTAAAAGTTTTTGGAAGATTTAGAAATCCATTAGGAAAAAATTTGACACACATATTTAACACCCCTAAGGCTGTTTCTGTGTTTGAAAAAGTCCAACACTTTATCGAGCTGCACGTGAAGACAAAGAAAATGAGGAGAAAAGCCAGCAGCAGCCCAAGTCTTTGATTTTCTACTGCACTCTTTTGGCTTGACCCAAGAGTTCTCAAATTGTTCAAATAATCCCATTTAAGATGGGCCACTGAATGTGCTGGTCCTGGCTTAGGATCTCTTTTTAGCCTCTACAGAAAAACTGTAAGAGGACTGACAGAGAAAAAACAAACAAACAAGAAAAAAACATGAAAAACCTTACTTTTCTAAAGCTTCTATTTTTATTTTTAGCCTCCTCCTCTTGATAAAAGTATGTGTTTGGAGAATGGAGGAAATACAAATTATTAGCATATTAATAATTTTTCCTGGCTTTCACATCTTTAAATATATCTACCAAACCTGCTCATTTCTATGAGCAAACTGTGCTTGATACCTTTTTTTCTCTTTTGCTTCTATTTAAAACAAAAAAAGAAGAAGAAAGTTATTTAGTCCTCTGAAAAGTGCCAAAACCTTTGGCATAATGTGTCTATGGTTTCCCCTCAAATTTCCTGCTCCCACCCCCATTATACCCACAGTTTTTATTCCACGTTTTTAAAGTTTCCAGAAATTTTTAAAGCCTTGTCATGAAGAAACAGTAGTGCCACCATTAGCATAAGGTTAGGTGTGTATTTGCACAGAGAAGGCAGTAAAAAATCAGGATTATGCTGGGCATAAATTTTATAAAACATGGCAGAAATCCTCAGACTGGCCCTGATGAGGACAATAAAAGTTTTAAAGTACAAGTACTGAATTTATTCTGTCTTCTTTACTTTTAGGGAAAAAAGAGATAAGATATAAGGAAAATGAAGTGAATCCAGAATTAGGATTTAAAGGAAAAACAAACAAACAAAAAAGATTCTCAGTGAGTCTGACCAGGGGTCAATAAAAGGAATTAAGTAGAAGATTTCTGAGAAGAAATCACCAAACTGAAATTCAAATGACTTGGATTCAAATTCTACTAACAGCAGCTAAAATTTCTTGGGCACTCACCATGTGCCAAGTATTGTTCTAATGGCTGTAAGTCCCTTAATATCTTAAAACATGACTTTCTTCAGTGCAAAACATATTAACCGAGATAATCTGTGACTCCTTTCCAGGTGTAAGTGTCTGTATCTCTGTAGGAAGCAGGCCCAATAAAGTTTTAATAAAGGCTCCCATAACCTTCTAATCTAGATGAATAAATTATCTAATGAAAATAATGCTCAAATGATAAAGATGTGACCAAAAGAAAAAAAATTCACACTGTAAATAAAATTTTATACTAGAATAAAATTTTAGAGAAATAATATGCAAGAAAAAATGGTTTTCTGGTTTATCCTCAGTTAACTTAAAAATTCCTTTCTGCCAAGCATTCCAGTGAAATAAAGTTTTAACGTAATAATCATAGGATAATTGTCAAAAATAAGATTTTTCCCCTTCTTGATCTCTCCTTCAATCTCTGTTTCCCATAGAAAGTAACAGAAGGTTTTTACTAAATAGCTGGTATGTAAAGCTAAGGCACTTATTATCCATTTTTATATTTATATGGTCTAAAATTATAAATATACATGAAAGTAGGTTTAAGTTTTTCTAAAATTAGTGAATGCATGTAAAATGTGTCTCACCATAAACAACAATCTTATTTATCTATAATTAAAGTAACTACCATTTACTTCTTACTAGAGCTCACATTTGAATCCGAAACTCTAAACGCTATAGTTTTTTGGACTACACCATAGACTGTGTGTGTGCCTCTATGAAATGCCTGGCTGATGTACTGAAATCTCCTCTGCAGGATAGAGCTATACATTATCCCTAAGATATCTCTCAGATCTAAAATCTGACAATCCTATAGGCCTGTACTACCAATAATGATTTGTTTGAAAAAAGATCTCTCTATAAATCTTCTAGAGTATACTATACTAGATGTATATAAAAGATCTCTATATGATGTAATATAAATCATTACATAGTATGCATATGTATGCACATATTAATGTGTTTGTGCATATTTATTGCACGTCTTTTATTTCCTAATTGATTATTAGCCCCTTCACAGCAAAGACCCCATTCTTCGCATCTGATTCTACCACTATGGCTGGCACAGTGGTAGGCAGAGAGCAACTGCTCACTAAGTAGTTGCTGAATTTAAATGAGCCAGAAAAGGTTTACAACAGATAATGCAACAGGTTAAGGACAGCGGTATTAACCCTTTGGGGCACTACAGTTTCCCTTGCTGAGAAACTATTCAACAGTCATTTCTCACCACTTCAGTGCACTGCATACAAATCATCAGTCAACATCGTTTATCAAAATCCCCAGGCCCGGTCCTAAACTGATTTAAACATGTTGAGGGGCTGAAAAAACTGCATTTTAGCCAGCACTCCAGGTTTTCCTGATGCAAGGGTCCAGGACCTCATTCTGAAAGCATTATCAGGGAGTATGGAAGGGTTAGATTCACTCCTAATTTTTAACTTCTCATTGAAATGGATAAAAATTTAAAAGGAAGGAGGTAGAGAAGACTCTCCAGACCAAGCAGTGTAATGCAGGAATGTGTAAACACAGATCATGTGTGACCTAGGTCATTCAGGGCTCCCATGCTGCACAACTCTAGTGGATGGCATTCACTTCATGGTCCATGTGACTGGTGCCTCCTGGAGTTGGGGAGTGTATCAAACACATGACCCTGAGGATGTAGGCCCATTATTAGCTTTGTGGCTGTTCCAATATACTGGCTATTGTAGGAATGTCAGGGCTTAGCTAGCTAGCTAGCAACCTTCTAAGTAGCACAGCTTGGGAGCACTGTACTAGGTCCTGTGGGAAGAGGAAGGGTAGTAAAAGGTATGAGGCTACATCCAAGTCTAATACTTGAGAAATAATTCAACAGCAGATTCAAACAGTACACTGTATCAGCACTAAACCACAGGGTGGCCTCATGGTAAGGAAATGGAGATTTAAGGAGAGAAGTAAGAGAGAAAAGCTTACTGGAGCAGATAAACCATGATCTGGGACCTGAAAGGTGTCAAGGATTTACTAAGAGGGACCTTTGAGGGAGCTTTTCAATGGCGATCAATGGCATGAAGAAAGGTTCATTTCTTTTGAAGTGAATCAAAGGTCCAGTTACAGTGCTTTGGACCAAAGCCACCTGGGATCACTGAGACATGATAGATCCTGCTCCAGGTAGCCACAGACATTGGCATCACCTGCCAGCAGCAAACATTATTTTAAAGCCCCCGGGGCATGATGCTATGTTTATGGTGAAGAAAAGTTTGCTATGGAAAGAACAGTTGGCCATGGGACTCTGCAGGGAAAAAAAGGCCTGAAGTTGTTTACCACTTGGCATAATTTCTACGAAATTTACTTTTTACTCTCTTGACCTACCTAGCAGGATTATGTACTCAAATATCATAAGATTGCCAAGCCATTCTAATTGGAGAAGCCAAATGATATGCAAAAGATTAAAGGAAACCTACCAATATTTCTATTCATCTCACAACTAATAAAGTCTTTTAAAACAAAATATTAAATCTTGTTCCTCTGGAAAACTCACACATTTTCTCCAAAAATATTTTATAGACTCATAAGTTTCTGAATATTTCATTCTGCTCTAATGAATCATCCTAGGGCATTCATTTTCTGAAATGTTTGGTCTCTACGTTTTCCTGCAGGCTCATGAATAGAAACATCTATAAACTCAATAATCACTATGGGTTCCTTGCATTTCTCCCTCACTCTGGGAGACATTATAATACCACGTCAGGTTAATATTCTTTTCTCCTTTTAGGAGGCACAAATAGCTTTCTCACTTAACATTTGATTGTTTAAGATTCCTCTATGTCTTGTAAGGCTCTCAGAGGTAAGAGGAACAAGTCCCAGCTCTCATTTTATAGCTGAAAAATCAGAAATGAAAATCCAAAGCGATTTTCAAGCCCAGTTCTACTCTATACTCTGGCTCCCACATGGGCAATTCCATGAGCCTTACTATGAAAGACTCCAGGAGTCAAACTTAGAGTTGCCCTCTCACCAAACCCGTACCATTCCCTGACCATTCCAAACCTAACTTGCAGTCCTGGAGAGGAAAGAAGAAACCCAACATGTTTTAGCTTTTTTGGTTGCTTACTTGGTTCAGAATAACTCGTAACTCAGTCGTGGAAGACTTTCAGGTAAGAACCACCTGCTAGATCTATCTCAAATGTAAAAATAATTAGAATTAGGTCTCTTCTGGTCTAAAATACAAGGCTTATACTCTTTTCCCCATGTTGAGGTCATATAGGCAAAGAAACAAAACTAATTAGCATTAAAATGTGCATGTAGCACTAGTATATATTTTGGATATATAAAGTCATATTTTTCTTAGTTCAGCCACTCCTCCTAAAAGTAAAGCCAAATTAGAATGCTTATTTTTTAAAGTAAAGTATAATTGTTGTTATTTCAGTCTGTGCCAAACAAGCTATGTTTGGAAGGCCTGTAGTTCCCATAATATCACCAAATAATAGTGATATTATTTAAAGTAAGACCTCACCAAATAAGCTCAAGGTTCCTTTTACTTGTGGAACCTTGCTTTCTCCACAAAAGTTTCCATCTTAAAAGTCTGCCGCATTTGTTTATATCATGAGAAGACAATTACAAAGTGGCAGTTGTTTACTTCCTAAAGATAACCTCAAAAAGTCAACCTATTTCTCCCAAGTTAGTAAGTTTCCCAGGCTACAGGGTATGGTTATAGTGAAAAGAGTTGAGACCTTTAAAAGTTGGGTCACAGATCTTATATACAGAAAAGTCCTAAGAAATCACTAAAAAATTATTAGAACTAATAAATAAGTCTAGCAAGGTTGGAAGACAGAAAAATCAATATACAAATATCAACTGTATTGCTATATATTTGAAATAAGCAATCCAAAAATGAAATTTAAAAAACAACTCGGTCAGGCGCAGTGGCCCACGCCTGTAATCCCAGCATTTGGGAGGCCCAGGCAGGCGGATCATTTCAGGTCAGGAGTTCGAGACCAGCCTGGCCAACAGGGTGAAACCCCATCTCTACTAAAAATACAAAAATTAGCCAGGCATGGTGGTGGGCACCTGTAATCCCAGCTACTCAGGAGGCTGAGGCAGGAGAATGGCGTGAACCCGGAAGGCGGAGCTTGCAGTGAGTGGAGTGCCACTGCACTCCAGCCTGGGTGACAGGGCGAGACTCCGTTGCAAAAAAATTAATTAATTAATTAATTAATTTTAAAAAAACTCAATTTACAGTAGCCTCAAAAACAATAAAATACTTAGAAATAAATTTAACAAAATAAGTGCAAAACTGATTCTCTAAACACTACAAAACAGCATTGAAAGAAACTAAAGAAAATCTAAATAAATAGAAACACATCCCATGTTCACGGATTAAAAGACTTGATATTGTTAAGATGGCAAAACTCTCCAAAGTTAATTTTAAAATGGCAATACTCCCTAAAATGATCTATAGATTCAATGTAATCCCTATCAAAATCCTGGTTGGCTTGTTTGCAAAAATTGGCAAACTGATCCAACAATCCATTATGAAAATTCAAGCAATTCAGAAGAGCCAAAACAATCTTGAAAAAGAAGAACAGATGGAGTCTTGCTCTGTTGCCCAGGCTGGAGTACAGTGGCATGATCTTGGCTCACTGCAACCTCTGCCTCCCAGGTTCAAGCAATTCTCCTGCCTCAGCCTCCTGAGTACCTGGGATTACAGGCGCTTTGATACACCCAGCTAATTTTTGTATTTTTAGTGGAGACAGGGTTTCACCATGTTGGTCAGGCTGGTCTCGAACTCCTGACCTCGTGATCCACCCACCTCGGCCTCCCAAAGTGCTGGGATTATAGGCTTGATCCACCACGCCTGGCACGAATTTGGATTTCAAGCTTACTACAAAGCTAGAGTAATCAAGACTATGTAGTACTGGTATAAGATAGACACAGAGAACAACAGAATGAAATTGAGAGTAAAAAAATTAACCCTCACATTTATAGTCAATTGATTTCCAACAAAGGTAACAGACAATAAGAAAAAACTGGTGCAGGGACAATATCCATATGCAAAATAATGAAGTTGGGCTCCTATCTCACCCTGTATACAAAAATTAACTCATAATGGATCAAAGACCTAACTACAAGACTTAAAACCGTGAATAGTTTTAGAAGAAAATATAGGCATATTTTCAAGAAAATTTTAGAAAAAAATATAGACATAATTTTTGTGATGTTGGATTAGGAAATGGTTTAGTTGACACCAAAACTACAAGCAACAGAAAAAAAAATAAATTATACTTCATCAAAATTTAAAACTTTATACTCCAAGGATACCATTAAGAAAGTATTAAAATGGCCAGGCACGGTGGCTCACGCCTGTAATCCCAGCACTTTGGGAGGCCGAGATGGGCGGATCACCTGAGGTCAGGAGTTTGATACCAGCCTGGGCAACATGGCAAAACCCCATCTCTACTAAAAATACAAAAATTATCCAGGCATGGTGGCACGTGCCTGTAATCCCAGCTACTCAGGAGGCTGAGGCAGGAAGAATTGCTTGAACCCCTGAGGCGGAGGTTGCAGTGAGCCGAGATCATGCCATTCCATTCCAGCCTGGGCGACAGAGAGAGACTGTCTCAAAAGAAAAAAAAAAAAGAAAAAAAGAAAGTGTTAAAACACAATGAGATACGATCTCACACCACTCAGAATGGTTATTAAAAAGTCAAAAAATAACAGATGCTGGTGAGGTTGCAGAGAAAAAGGAACACTTATGTACTGTTGGTGGGAGTGTAAATTAGTTTAACCACTGTGGAATACAGTGTGGCAATTCCTCAAAGACCTAAAAACAGAAATACCATTCAACCCAGTAATCTCATTACTGGGTATATATCCAAAGGCATATACATCATTCTATTATAAAGACACATGCATGTGTACATTCACTGCAGCACTATTCACAATAGCAAAGAGGTGGAATCAACCTAAATGCCTATCAACGATAGAGTGGATAAAAAAAATGTGGTATATATACACCATGGAGTACTATGCAGCCATAAAAAAGAATGAGATCATGTCCCTTGCAGGAACGTCGACGGAGCTGGAGGCCGTTATCATTAGCAAACTAATGCAGGAACAGAAAACCAAATACTGTACGCTCTGACTTTAAGTGGGAGCTAAATGGTGAGAACACACGGACACAGAGGAGAACAAGAGACAGTGGGGCCTACCAGAGGGTAAAGGGTGGGAGGAGGGAGAGGATCAGGAAAAATAACTAATGGGTACTAGGCTTAATATCTGAGTGATGAAATAATTTGTACGACAAACCCCTATGACACAAGTTTACCTATATAATGAACCTGCACATGTACCCCTGAACTTAAAATAAAAAAGTTTAAAAAAAAGAGAGAAAAAAAGAAAAGAAAAAGATAAAATAGCCTATAGACTAGGAGAAAAACTTTGCAAGTCACATATCTGATAAGGAACCCTAGTATACACACAGAACTCTCACAATACAATAAAAGGACAAATAATCCTATTTAAAAATGGGCAAAGGATCTGAACAGACATTGCTCCAGAGACAGCATAAAATTGCCAAGAGGCACATGAAAAGATGTTAAACATCATTAGCCATCAGGGAGATGAAAATCAAAACCATGATGAGATAACCACTTCACCCTGCTACAATGGTTATAATCAAAAAGAGATAATAAGAAGTGTTGGTGAGGATGTGAAGGAACTGCAACCCTCAAACACTGCTGGTGGGAATATATTTAAGAAAATGGTGTGGCCACTTTGGAAAACAGTCTGGCAGTTCCTCAAAAAGTTCAACATAGAATTATAATATGACTCAGCAATTCCACTCTCAGGTATATACTCAAGAGAAATGAAAACATATGCCCATACAAACTCACATACATGAATGTTCACAGCAACGTTATTCATAATAGCCAAGCACTGGGAACAGCTCTTATGCCTGTTAACTGATTAATAAACAAAATGTGACCTATCTATATCTACACAGTGAAATATTATTTATCAATAAAAAGGAATAACATATGTGCTACATCATGGATGAGCCTTGGAAACATTATGCTAAGTAAAAGAAACCAATCATGAAAGCCCACATTTTATGATTCCATTTATATGAAATGTCTAGAATAGACAAATCCATATACACAAAAAGTAGATTAACAACTGCCAGGGGATGGAGGGACTGGATGGAAGGGAGTGGTGATTGCTAAGGTGTGGTACGAGGTTTCTTGTTGGGGTGATGAAAATGTTCTACAATTGAATGTGGTGATAATTGTACAAATCTGTGAATATATTAAAAACCATTGAATTATATACTTTAAATGGGTAAATTATATCTCAACAAAGCTTTCTCTGAAAAAAAAAAACAAAAAACACCTAGAACTGTCAGAGATCTGCCTCTTACTAATGAGTAACCCTGGGCAAATTACTTACTCTGACTCAATTCGCTCAATCTTTAAAATGGGAATATCTATCTTAGACAGTTTTTCTGGAGTTAAGCATGACTAGTACAATGTTCTAAACATAGTAGGTGACCATCAAAATCATAAAACTCCAAAGTATAAAGTCTTAATTATAATGAAAATTATTATCTGGGCACCAAATATTTACAAATACTATTTTTTAAATGAGCACAGTGTGATTTGGAAGTATCATAGTTTTTAATTTCTCAAAAAGCAATAATTTTCCTCAAATATTTAAAATCCATCCTTTCTTGAGCTCATATGCTAAAATTTTGAATGAAAAGTGATCAAAAACTAAGTAATTTTCTATTATGTTTCTTAAAGTATAAAATTAAGAAAGATTAAGAACCTCCACTCTTTTCTCTGAAGATCTTTCAGACACTAGAGATATTTAATTGGCAAATTACTTGCACATGCCATTAAGTGGTTAGACTGAATTTGTTTTTACAAATTCTATGGACTCTTATTCCTTAACCTCCACCACACTATAATCTGAAATCATCAAGGTCTTCACTTATGCAAATTTTAACTTTCCATGTTTTTGTTTCCATACAGAATAACTAAATTAATGCATTTTAATTTCTAAAAGATTCACTTTTTGAAGCAGCATATCTATGAAAAAGAGTTTCTCATTAAAATAAAAAAGATTCATCAAGCTATATTATTTCAAACACTAAACCATAATCTCTCTCTCTTTCTCATGGATTTTAAAAATTCCATTAATACAATAAACACAAAAGGGATGTTTGTGTTAAACATAAAAGTAACCCCTCTTGGAGGCAAAGAGAGGACTGCTGAAGGCCCAGCATTTTATCTCTGAACAGTTTCATGCTTTTTCTAATGCATGCTAAATCCTCAAAGAAAGTTGTGGTTTTTCTCTAAGGGAAGTAATATTCCACCCTGCTGATATGGTTAACAACCAGCTTCTACGGCCATCATCTTTTAAGCAGGGAGCAAAAGACAAATTGTTGAATTCGTACATTAAATAACATAATGGAGTAAGTGGATGCAGACCTATCTCTACTGCCATATGCTCCAATATCAAGGTTGCCATTTCAAACCCTTTTGACAAGTGCCTTTTTACATTAATCACAGCTAAGGGTCTGAAGAGGAAAGACGTATTCTGGCTACAATTCAGAGTCGCTCAAGAAACTTCTAGGGGGAAAATGGTTGCCATTAAAACATAGTAAGTAGAGCATAAGTACTTCACATTAAAATTGAGTTCTCTATAATCCCCTGTAAACTTTTTATTATTATTATTCTGAACATGTAGGTACAGTGGTGATAGGTATCTTTCAAAAAATAAGCACACACACAGCCAAGCTGAGCCAAATATTATACTAAAGTCATATGTGGTATTGGTGTATGTAAAAATTAGGGCTAATTTAAAACTCTTCCAGTTCTGTACTTAGGGATGGAACTAGCCTGAGTTAAGGTCATGTGGCATTCAGGAAAGAACCCTATCCTTCTAGTGCCAGAAGTCAAAGTTGTGATTCTTATGAAACTAGTCACCTTTTCCCCTCTGGGCCTGTTTCCTCATCCATGAAAGAAAGCCATAAACTATACTCAGCCATTGTTCATTTGAAGTAGGAACTACATTCCCTTGGAGAGCTTGTTTAAAACACATTCCCAAGCCCCACACCCAAAAATTATGAATCAGTAGATTTGAGACAGAGCCAGGGAGTCCACAGTTAACCAACATTCTACACTATTACAATGAGAACCCATGGTCTACCTCATTGATAAGACTCCCTCCTCCTCTATAATCTGACAGATCTATCAATTCTCAAGATTCATACACTATTTAAGTCATCATAGTGACTGTGAGTCAACAACAACAACAAAATGGCTCAAGGCTGGCAGATATTTAGCGTAAGATATTAACCATCTGTCACACACACTAACTAAATCAACAGAGGGGCCAACTGAGATGTTTCCAATTATCTGCTAGAAAAAGTATTTTCAACTGGGTAGAATAAATCATTATTAGCCTTTCATAATATCAAAAGTAGGTCAATTAAAATGGTGTTTAGAGGCATATAGCAGACTGTGGCCACTCTCCAGATGTGTAAGCTTGCTTTAATCATCTGCTGTGTGTTAATTATTGTTAACTTTCATTACCACTAGAGAATACAACTAATGTTTTAAAATTCTTAAAGCATTACAGAGTCCTAATTCACTCTCTAAATGCAAATATAATATCTATATTGTTTTCAAAAACCTATTTCCTAAGCTAGTTTCCTTAGACGGATATTATCGAAAATTTTCTTGCAAAAGCATTAACATACATTTAACCCTACTTAAATGCTTCAAGAGCAGATGTACTACAAATGTACACCCACAGTGATCCCATATTAGTATAAAACTGTTTTATTTCAATTAAAATGTCTAAGTATCCACCCCCAACATATACCTAAACTGTAATTTTCTCTGAGAATTTCCAATATGTTCTTGATTTTGTTTCCTTTATCAACCTATCAGAGCAAAAACTGCCTTGCAACTGTTGGAAGAAATCAGTCATTAGCAGCAAGATTACAGCAAATTTTCCAATTTAGAAAAACTGTATTTTTATCTCTCTCTTATACCAGAAGAAGAATGGTATAATTTTCCTATCTTTAAATAAGCAGTACAGTTAGTTTAAAATAGTCAAATTTTCCTAGGACTCTAAGTTTCAGGATTTTATGTTAGCTTTCTGTTCTCTACACCTTCTTTCCTACTCACAAGTTCTCTTCACCCTTCATCATGCATGCACATGAACATGCACATACACACACACACATGCACACACAAACACACAGGTGCACATGCACACACAGGGACAGCAGCCCCCAGTCCAGTCTCTCCACTCCCTGACAGGCTTCTAAGGAACAGTTAACCTTCAGGCAGTAGTTAACTAAGGAGTGGCTTCACATGGTTATTTTGATTTGCTCTCCAACTGACATTCTTCCACCTTCTCAACAGGTCTGCCTTCTTTTCTCCCCCTCTCTATTTTTAAAATGGAGTGATGAAGTAGCAAAAAGTACAATATTTTAGCCATTTGAGCACGGGCGATTCTTAAATTATCCCACCAACTGGAAGTGCTCTCTGATACTACTATCTTTCAAAATTGAAGCCATTATGGTCAATCGTGCAAATCCGTATTTAGCTTTTCGTAAATAGTGGATTTTTGACCCAATGAACTGGAACAGTTTCTGGACAGTCTCTAGGATCTCTGAAAAGATACTCAGTACCCAGGCATGCCACAATTCTTATCAACATAGAGACTATTTACTTTCAAAACTCATACTGTTCTTATTCGAAATTCTTACTCTCTATTTGGGATGTAAGCATGTATAAGAGAATATACTCAGCCCCCTCTTTACCTCTCATAAAATAAAATCAAATCTACTGCAGGGCAATATTTTTCTTTCATCAAAATGACACATTATTTTTGTGAAACACCAAAATCAGAACCAATATTAATGAAGAACTTTCCCCAAGTAACGTTTCTTCTGATTCTTCACCACCTTCTCCCTCAGCTATCTTTTCGAATATTTCATTTTCGAAGTGTCTTTACAAAGACAGTAACAAATGACCTTCCTTTCCAGCAAGCTTAAAAATGATGGGTAAAGTCTGCCTTCTTCCAATCCAATACCAGCATTCCTCTAGCTTTATATATTTAATATTAAATTTGAGTGCTTAACTTCGAAACTTCTCATTTCCATACTTTTAACTCCCATCATTTTCTGCAACCTGAATCGAAGTGACTGAGTGGGTGTTTCCACACATTTCCTAATGTCATCTAGCCTACCCATTTTCCCAAAGCACACCAATTTCATCATAGCAGGTGTTCCTGGACACAATCTAAGTTGAACTCAGAAAGGGTCCCTCCAAACAATTACATCCACATCAGAGAATTAACTAACTGAGGACTCGCTTAGAATTAAGAATTAACTAGCTTAGAAATCGCCCCGGTTCTGTGGGTTTTGTTTAGTGGGAGAGACACAAGAGAAAAGTTGGTGCAAATATAATAAGTTTGCTAAACTACAATTTAAACAAAGTTAAATAGATTTATTTTTTCCGCAGGACTTCTCAGAGCCTTAATAAATTAAAAGTTCCAGGCTTTATGATTCTCTCTTAGGAGAGCCCTTTTCCACATGCCACTTATTAACATAAACAAGAAACGCTTCTCTATAGTTACTAAACTTACAATATATTTCAATAGTGAAGATTAAAGGACAAAAGGTCACTGTAGTTTCCAATAAAGGGCAAAACTGGACCAGTTTCTTTCAGACTCCATGCTAACTGGCAGAGCTGCAGTGGCGAGCCAGCCCAGGCCTCCCAGTGTGGCACAGGGTGTAGACTAGTTTCTTCCATTTTGGTCTTCATGAGAATCAGAACCAATTCCCTTTCAGAGGTCTCACTAGCCAGCCAACCAAACAGTTCTTTCTGTATTTTATTTTGTTTATTTATTTTTGAGACAGAATATTGCTCTGTCACCAGGCTGGAGTGTGGTGGCACGATCTCGGCTCACTGCAACCTCCACCTCCTGGGTTCAAGTTATTCTCCTGCCTCAGCCTCCTGAGTAGCTGGGACTACAGGCACATGCCACCATGCCCAGCTAATTTTTGTATTTTTAGTAGCGACGGGGTTTCACCGTGTTGGCCAGGATGGTCTCGATCTCTTGACCTTGTGATCCGCCCGCCTCAGCCTCCCAAAGTGCTGGGATTACAGGTGTGAGCCACTGCGCCCGGCTCTTTTTGTATTTTTAATAATTCGTTAGTTACTCTACATTTACTTCAGTTACAGAAAAATGTATTTTCCAATCTGTCTCTTGTATTATATATAGGTTGTCTGATACATTTTGTTTCTTCATATATCCAAAACCAAAAGGCATCCAAAAACTGATTATCATTACATTTTGAAGTCATACATAAACTATTCTACAATCAATGTCTTTAACAGCAATGCTGGAAAAGTGTTAAATAAGATATATGTCTACTAGTTCAACTGCCCCTCTATAAAAAGCAGCTTTTATCTTTAAAGGGCAGCTCACTGACCTCTGTGAGATTTGCTAAAACCTACACAATTTTTCCCCAGGAAAAAAAAAAAGCTCATTTAGACGAAATATTACAAACAACCATAGCCATTCACAGACTCCCTGATACTTATCCAGGCAAAGAGTTGAGAACCCTTGACTTTAAAGTTTAATTAAAAACTGCAGAACATAAACATGCACACACCATCATTACCACCAACACTTGTAATGAAATTGGGTTACATTCAGGTATTAAGGATAACTTTAAAATTGCACGTAAAACATATTTCATGAAATCTTGTTCAGTGTACTGAAAAATAAATTTAAAAAGTCAAAGGAAGAGAGAAACATGTAATAGCATAATGCAAGAAAACATTTGGGAGTTTAACCTAAGAAACTGGTATTGTATAGATCATACTTTGAATTTTCAGGGGGTCTACTTGTGACTTTCCTCAGATAAAAGCAGGTATTCAAGCTCTCGGCTAGGCACGGTGGCTCACGCCTGTAATCCTAGTACTTTGGGAGGCCGAGGCGGGTGGATTGCCTCAGCTCAGGAGTTCCAGACCAGCCTGGGCAACAACGGTGAAACCCCATCTCTACTAAAATACAAAAATTAGCTGGGCGTGGCGATGTGCGCCTGTAGTCCCGGCTACCCGGGAGGCTGAGGCAGGAGAATTGCTTGAACCCGGGAAGCAGAGCTTGCAGTGAGCCGAGATTGTGCCACTGCACTCCAGCCGGGGCAACAGAGCGAGACTCCATCTCTGAAAAAAAAAAAAAAAAAAAAAAAAAAGTAGTATTCAATCTCTCTGCTACTGTGGAGCTAGGCTATTAATGTGGTACAACAACTTAAGAAATATCAGTAAGTAGGAATAGGTAATGTCTTAAATTAGCATTATAAGATACATCACTGGTATATATGCCAAATAGTTCAGATCGACAGTTTCATTAAACACACCCACACATCCACACAGGTACTCTTTCTTAAAACCCACAATGGAAATGTTTTGCACCCCCCGCAACATTAAATAAGAAATACAGTAACAGGAAAGTGTCTGAGAAACTATCACTCACAACATGTCTGTACCAACCTGCTCACACACCAGGTAAGTCCTTCCAAACCCTGACTTTCAGCTCTTCCACTCACAAAGTGGGGTGACTATACGCTGGCTTCACATAGATACTGTGAAGCCTAAATAATGATCACTGGCATGGTACCCCTGGCTTTGCCCCACTCTAGTCAACTCAGCAAAAATCATCTCTTCCAAGCATCATTCTGATCCTATCCCTGTCCTCCAAAGACCTTGTAGTGACTCCTAATTGCTTCTCATATGAAATAATTACTCTTGCTTAAGGGCCCGGCCCTGTCGTTGGTGCCCTGACAACCACCCTCCCAAGTACTCAGGTCTCTTAAGCTGCACCCCTCAATCAAGGGCCTCCTCTACTATGGTTCCCCTCTATCCTCAACCTGGACACAGACCATCTCCTCACCCTTCCCTATCGTCCTGTGATTCTCCCCTTCAGTCAGAATTCTGTTCATATCAAAAGATAAAGCTTTTCTGGGTAAAACTCACATCGTGTGCATCTCAACAAGTTATCCAGATAGCTGGAACCAAGGCAACTTTCTATGTACACTGGTAACTCTAAGCCAGGTACGTTCTCTTCCTTATTACTTTCCACCATAGTGAAAAAAAATCGTAACTAATGCATTTGCCTATTGTTCTTTACTTCATGAAAAATATTAAATCCTTCTAATGTCTGATACAGACTGAGACCACAATGGGCTAACTGACACCTATCTGGATTACAGTGGGCTTGCTCCAAAAGCATGAGTATCAACACCAGAGGGAGGCAGTGTGGCACAGTGAAGAACAGTCAGCCAGGATCAGGCTGCTCTCCCAGCTCCATCACAGGCAACACTATGACTGTGGCCACTTACTCAACTTCCCCATGTCTATTTCCTCTACAGAAAATGAGAATTATAATAGTATAGACCTTCTAGGCTACAATAATTAAATAATAAATTATACCAAAAATACTTAGCCCAGAGGTTGGCATGTATTTTAAAATAAAAATGATGGTTACCTTACTTCTCTCATGAGATTATGTAAAACCACATATCTTGGGAACAGAACAAGACCAGTAGCTACCACCTGGTTCTTCTTCCTTTCCTTTGGCCCCCTTCCTCTCACCCATGGCCAATCGGGAGCCAAGTCATACAGATTAGCTCTCAGGAACAGCCCAGTGTGCAGTGGCTCATGCCTGTAATCCTAGCATCTTGGGAAGCCAAGGCGGGAGGATTGCTTGAGCCTAGGAGTTTGAGATTAGTCTGGGCAACATAGTTAAACTCACCTTTACGAAAATAAAAATAAAGTTAGCTGGACATGGTAGCGCCACCTGTAGTCCCAGCTACTCAGGACGCTAAGGTGGAAGGATCACTTGAGTCAGGCATGTTGAGGCTGCAGTGAACCCAGATCACTCCAGCCTGGGTGACAGACCTTGTTTCAAAAGAAAAAAAAAAAAGAAAGAAACCAAGAAAGAAAAAAAAAAGGAATGGCCCAGGTGGGGTCCCGAGATATGACTCCAGTCCAGGCCTCTGTTATTCCCAGCCTCCACTGTTTGTGGCACTTCCAAAGTGGCCATCACTTCCAGACCCCCACAGCTCCAACCCTTCATGGAATACAAAGCCCATATCATGCCAGTTCAGTATTAATGCATCTTTGGTCACTCCTCTAGATCTGCTCAGATAGCTTCCATGCTTTCTACCCACTTAGCCTGCTTTACATACAAACAGGATATTCTGACATCATATTTTTTGTATTTGTTTATAGTCTCTCTCCCTAAAACGTTCCTCAAATGTATCAAACAGACTCCGCGCTTAGAACCCGGGAAATGGCTATTATTTTCTGCCTGCGACAGTCTCCCCTCCTCCATCCCCATATCTACACGACCAATTACCTCACCTCTTTCAAAAAATGAAAATAAAATCTTTTTTTTTTGGTGGAAAAAAACACTTAACATGAGATCTACCCTTAATAGATTTTTAAGTGTACAAAATAATATCGTTAACTATCAGCACAATGTTGTGCAGGAGATTTCTAGAACTTACTCATCTTGCTTAACCAAAACTTTATGCCGGCTGATTAGTAAATCCCCATTCCCCCTCCTCACAGCCCCTGGTAGCCACCACTCTTTGATTCTATGAATCTGCCTATTTCAGGTGTCTCATATAAGTAGAATCATGTAATATTTGTCTTCTGTGGCTGGCTTATTTCACTCGTAGTGTCCTCAAGGTTCATTCATGTTGTCATGTATGGCAGGACTTTATGGCTGAATAATATTCTATGTATATAAATTTTCTTTACCCATTCAGCTGTGGATGGGCATTTAGGTCATTTCCACATTTGGCTGTTGCGAACAGTGCTGCGATGAACATGAGAGTTCTGATACCTCTTTGAGATCCTGATTTTTGGATAAATATCCAGAAGTGAGATTGGTGGATCATATGGTACTTCTATTTGTAAATTTTTGTCAGAATCTCCATAACTATTTTCCACAGGGACTGCACCAACACATTTACTATCTTACCCTTATAGAAAATGTTTGCCACCCGTGATCTAGTATAAAAAATAACACCATAAAAAAGAAAAGAAAGAAAAAGAAAACTATGTTGACATTCGAAACACTAAGTTTAAAGAGAAAAGACCTTAAATTTCAAAAACAAATTTGTGTAAATGTCTCCTCACATAATAGCACAGATTTATAATTAATATAATGACAGCTTATTCCCTTATTTATTATTTCTCTGCTTTGGTTACAAATGACTAGGCAATTAATATCATTTTTTCTTTCCTCTTCTTACCCTGCTTGTCTTCCACCATGATTTACTCCCTTTGAATACCCCTCCCATCCACTATGGTAACCAAAATTTGACAGTATTGGTAACATTCCAACTCACATAATTCTGAAGTTTCTTTAAATGTATTATATTCAATATGTAGTAAAATATATCTATTGAAATATTTATGAACTTTTAAGAAGGTAATACTTATTTGTTATCTCAAATATAAAATTCAGCTCACGTTTCTACTACCTTCCTTCTGAGGTACTTAGCACTGATTCATCCTTGGCAGTAGTCCTATCTGCAAAATTGTACACATGCACCAGCATCTTTAGATAACAAATAACATAGATGTGTTCCTTTCTCTTTCAAAATTTGTAGTGTTCATCAACTCAAAATTTCCAGAGTAGTGAGATATAGACAGACTAACACTTGTTATTAAATAAACTTTTATTTAAAAACTTTAAAAATTCTTAAAGGAATAAAACATTTATTTATACATATACATATAGATATTATACATATTCAAGGCAATAGCATGTGAAATCCCAGCAGGATGTTTGTGGAAATTAATGACTTACTCTAAAATTGTTTTGATAGTGAATAGGGCCAAGAATAGCCGAGATAATCTTAAAGAATAAAGTTGAAAACCTAACCAGATATGACTTATAAAGCTGTAGTAATTAAGATAGTATAGTATTAGCGGAGAATATACAATAATGTAAAAAGAATGGAGCATTCAGATACAGTCCCATACTGGATTTATGATAGTAGTACCACTGCAGTGCAATAAAGAAAAGAACCATCTTTTTAATAAATGGTGCCAGGCAATCGACATATCCTTGGGGAAGAGGGCCAGGGAAGAATCTTGACCTTTACCTTTAGTACCATGCAAAAATATAACAAATTCTAGAAAGATTAAAATGTAAATCTGAAAGGAAAGCAAACTTCTGGAAGATAACATAGGAGAATATCTTCCTGACCCGGAGGAAAACAAAGAATTTTTTTTTTCTGTTTTGAGCCAGAGTTTCGCTCTTGTCACCCAGGCTGGAGTGCAATGGCATGATGTCGGCTCACTGTAACCTTTGCCTCCTGGGTTCAAGCGATTCTCCTGCCTCAGCCTCCTGAGTAGCTGGGATTACAGGTGCTGCCACCACACCCAGCTCATTTTTGTATTTTTACTAAAGACAGGGTTTCACTGTGTTGGACAGGCTGGTTTCAAACTCCTGACCTCAGGTGATCCACCCGCCTTGGCCTCCCAAAGTGCTGGGATTACAGGTGGGAATCACTGTGCCTGGCCTAGATTTTTTAAACAGGACACAAAAAGAGCTATCCACAAAAGAAAATGCTGATAATTTGTACTACATTAAAATTAGAAACTTATGTTCCTCAAGACTCAAATGAGTTACAGTGCAAGTCACAGAGTAAAGAATCTGTGAAACATATAACCCTCAGAGGTCTTGTATCCAGAAAATACGCACATGACTGAAGAAGATAGCCAAATGGCCAATAAATATGGAAAAATGTCATATAACCCATTAGGAATCAGGGAAATAAATGCTCATTGAAGCCACACAGTGAGATATCACTAAAATAAAAATGGCTGATACCAACTGGCAAAGATCTAAAATAAAACCATCATGCAATGATGGCATGAGTGTTAACTGGTACCACTGAGAGGTGACAATGTGCTGGCAGTCCTCGCTCGCTCTAGGCGCCTCCTCGGCCTCGGCGCCCACTCTGGCCACACTTGAGGAGCCCTTCAGCCTGCCACTGCACTGTGGGAGCCCCTCTCTGGGCCGAGGCCAGAGCCAGCTCCCTCTGCTTGCAGGGAGGTGTGGAGATAGACCGTGTGGGCAGGAACCGTGGCTGCCCACAGTGCTCGTGGGCCAGCGTGAGTTCTGGGTGGGCGTGGGCTCCGCGGGCCCTGCACTCGGAGTGGATGGCCAGCACCGCCAGCCCTGGGCACTGAGGGGCTTAGCACCTATGCCAGCAGCTGTGGAGGGTGTGCTGGGTCCCCCAGCACTCCTGGCCCACCCACGCTGCACTCGAATTCTCACCGGGCCTCAGCTGACTCCCGGCGGGGCAGGGCTGTCAGGAGCTGGAGCCCGCCATGCCCAAGTCCCCCCAACCCCGTGGGCTCCCATGCAGCCTGAGCCTCCCCAACGGGTGCCGCCCCCTGCTCCGCAGCGCCCAGGTCCCACCGACCACCCAAGGGCTGAGGAGTGCAGGCGCATGGCGTGGGACTGATGGGCAGCTCCGCCCGCAGCCCCAGTGCGGGATCTACTAGGTGAAGCCAGCTGGGCTCCTGAGTCGGGTGGGGACTCGGAGAACTTTTATGTCTAGCAGGAGGATTGTATATGCTCCAATCAGCACTCTGTATCTAGCTAATCTGATGGGCACTTGGAGAACTTTTATGTCTAGCTAGAGGATTGTAAATGCACCAATCAGCACTCTGTGTCTAGCTCAGGGATTGTAAATGCACCAATCAGCACTCTGTCAAAATGGACCAATCAGCTCTCTGTAAAACAGACCAATCAGCTCTCTGTAAAATGGACCAATCAGCAGGATGTGGGTGGGGCAGATAAGGGAATAAAAGCAGGCTGCCCGAACCAGCAGTGGCAACCTGCTCTGGTCCCCTTCCACGCTGTGGAAGCTTTTGTTCTTTTGCTCTTCACAATAAATCTTGCTGCTGCTCACTCTTTGGGTCCGCATTGCCTTTATGAGCTATAACACTCACCATGAAGGTCTGCAGCTTTACTCCTGAGGCCAGCGACACCACGAACCCACCGGGAGGTATGAACAACTCTGGACGGGAGGAATGAACAACTCCAGAAGCGCCACCTAAAGAGCTGTAACACTCACAGCGAAAGTCTGCAGCTTCACTCCTGAAGCCAGCGAGACCACGAACCCACCAGAAGGAAGAAACTCCGAACACATCCAAACATAAGAAGGAACAAACTCTGGACACACCATCTTTAAGAACTGTAACACTCACCACGAGGGTCCGCAGCTTCATCCTTGAAGTCAGTGAGACCAAGAACCCACCAATTCCAGACACACCATTACTTTGGAAAACATTTTAGCAAGCTCTACTGAAGCTAAATATACATATTTTCTGTGACCGAGCAAGTCTATTCCTAGAAATGTCTATACACACCAAAAAATATGTAAAGCAATGTCAAAAGCATATTGCTTGCAGCAGCCAAAAATGAAAATGTTCCAAAATGTTTATCAACAATAGAATGGATAAATAAATTAGGATAGAGTCACATAATGGAATTCAATACAGTGAAGAAAAACAAAAAATACATGCGACATGGATTAATCTCACAAATAAAATGAACAAAGGAAGCCAGACCAAAAGAGTACATTCTATATAGTTCCAATTAAATTAAGTTTAAAAACAGGCAAAACCAATTGATAGTGATAAATGTCAGTTGTTACCATTGGGATTGGGGAACAGTGACTGGGATGAGACCTCTAAACTGCTGGTACCATCCTCTTTCTGATCTGGCTCGTGGTAAGCAGATCCAGATGTAAAAGTTCAGAAAGATGTACACTTAACACCATTTGTATATTCTTCTGCATGTATGCTGTCATTCAACAAAGTGTACTTTAAAAAATCACTGTCACATACAATAGGCTAAAAATACAAATGGAAACATTTAATTTTTTCTCCTCACATACAGAATCACAAATTAACTAGAATTTACCAGTCATACCAACACCCTGTCATATACCTGTTGATATCTCAAGATACTTATAAACAGAAGTAAGGCTGTACACCTACAACTATCTGATCTTCAAGAAAACTGACAAAAACAAGCAATGGGGAAAGGATTCTGTATTCAATAAACGATGCTGGGTTAATTGGCTAGCCATATGCAGAAGACTGAAACTGGACCCCTTCCTTACGCCATATACAAAAATAAACTTGAAATGGATTAAAGACTTAAATGTGGCCAGACATGACGGTTCACACCTGTAATCCCAACACTTTGGGAGGCCAAGGTGGGTGGATCACTTGAGGTCAAGAGTTCGAGACCAGCTTCGCCAACATGGTGAAACCCTGTCTCTACTGAAAAATACAAAAAATCAGCCAGGCATGGTGGTGCATGCCTATACTCCCAGCTACTTGGGAGGCTGAGGCACAATAATTACTTGAGCCTGGTAAGCAGAGGTTGCAGTGAGCCGAGATCATACCACTGCACTCCAGCCTGGGCAATAGAGCAAGAGTTCATCTGAAAAACAAACAACACTTAAGTGTAAAACTCAAAGCTATATTCTTGGAAGACAACCTAGGCAATACCACTCTGGAGAGTGGAATGGGCAAAGATTTCATGACAAAGACACCAAAAGCAATTGCAATAAAAACAAAAATTGACAAATGGGACCTAATTAACTAAAGGGCATTCTGCACAGCAAAAGCAACTATCAAGAGAGTAAACAGACACCCTACAGAATGGGAGAAAATTTTTGCAAACTATGCATCTGACAAAGGTCTAATATCCAGCAACTAACTATAAGGAACTTAAATTTACCAGGAAAAAACAACCCCATTAAAAAGTGGGGGAAAGGCCAGGCGTGGTGTCTCATGCCTGTAATCCCAGCAGTTTGGGAGGCTGAGGCGGGTGAATCACCTGAGGTCAGGAGTTTGAGACCATCCTGACCAATATGGTAAAACCACGTCTCTACTAAAAATACAAAATTAGCCAGACGTGGTGGTGCGCGCCTGTAGTCCCAGGCACTCGAGAAACTCAGGCAGGAGAACTGCTTGAACCCAGGAGGTGGAGGTTGCACTGAGCCGAGATTGTGCCACTGCATTCCAACCTGGGTGACAGAGTGAGACTCTGTCTCAAAAAAAAAAAAGAAAAGAAAAAAGTAGGCAAACAACATGAACAGATATTTTCAAAAGAACACATATACGCGGCCAAGAAGCATATGGAAAAAGGCTCAACATCACTGGTAATTAGAGAAATGCAAATCAAAACTACAACTAGATACCATCTCACACTAATCAGAATGGTTACTATTAAAAAGTCAAAAAATAGCTGGTGCTAGCAAGGTTGCAGAGAAAAAGGAACATTTATACACTGCTGGTAGGAGTGTAAATGCTGGTAGGAGTGTAAATTAGTTCAACCACTGTGGAAAACAGTGTGGTGATTCCTCAAAGACCTAAAAACAGAATTATCCTTCAACCCACAATCCCATTACTGGGTATATACCCAAAGAAATATAAACATTCTGTCATAAAAACACATGCACACATATGTTCACCGTAGCACTATTCACAATAGCAAAGACATGGCATCAACCTAAATGCCCATTAATGATAGACTGGATAAAGAAAATGTGGTACATATACACCATGGAATACTATGCAGTCATTAAAAAAAACAACGAGATCATGTCCTCTACAGGAACTTGGATGGAGCTGGAGGCCATTATCCTTAGCAAACTAATGTGGGAACAGAAAACCAAAAACCAAACATTCTCATGTATATGTGGGAGCTAAGTGATAAGAACACAAGGACACAGAGAGGAATAATAGACATTACGGCCTACCAGAGGGTGGAGGGTAGAAGGTGGGAGGAGGGAGAGAATCAGGAAAAATAACTAATGGGTACTAGGTTTAATATCTGAGTAATGAAATAATTTGTACAACAAACCCCTGTGACACAAATTTACCTATATAGTAAACCTGCACATGTACCCCTGAACTTACGTTAAAAAAAAAAAATTTAAAAAAATTTTAAAAAAAAGGGCTTCCCAAAGAAAAATGAAAAAAAAAAAAAAAAACAGAAAATCTTTTCCTCTTTTAGGCTATTTCTTTTAGTATCACTATTTGTATAAAGGCCTTTGTTTTTCAGACAGTGCCTTTTATGCAGTGAATCTTTTAATCCTTACATAGTCCTGTAAAGTAGTTATTACCCCGATTTTAGAGATGAGGAAAATAAAGCTCAGAGGGTTGAAATGACTTGTCCTTCAGCTAGTAAGAAGCAGAAACAAAATCCTTATGCAACTATGCCTTCTACAATTCAAAGACAGCTCTTGTTTCCTACATCCTGCTTCTTCACTATCATTTTCTTCTAATCACACTAACACACACACTTTGCCCTGCAATGGTGGAAGTCTCCTACGTCTTTCTAGGACCAGTGGTAAAGCTGGTGTCACCAATATCCCTTGCCACTTCACACGCATGAAGGGAAGATGGATCTATATCAAGGAACTACCTGAAGCCCATTTCTCAGTCCTCTAATATCAAATCGAACTCTCTTCCATTCCTCACATCCAGACTTGCTGGGGAAAGTAGGAGGACAAGACAGAACACACCTATGCTGAACATGCTTACACTCACAGGCTTTCCTCTGTTCATCCCCAGGAAACGCTATTATAACAATGTCACCAAACTCGCTTCCATTGAGTAAATCAATAACACCATGAGCTAGCTGCTTACTCATTACTTGAAGATTTAAATGGGGACTTTCTAAAAATTGGTATTCCATTGAAAAGTTGTGGTTGCAGTGGTGCTAAGAGGAACTGGGTGATGGAAATAAATTTCTTCTGAGGATCTGTAAATATTAAATAATCCTCATGAAGTATTAATGGAAAGCATCTGATCTTCTAGAAACCGGGCAAGTATATAATTTTTTGTCTTTGCTCAAGATGATTTAACCTTTAATTCTGTCATGCCAAATGAGTATGACGGAATGGCGAAGGGGGTTGGCACAATAAATCTATTATACTATCTTACCAATACTTTATCTAATTATTATATTCACTTCTTGATAAGATAAATGAGGACTGGAGAGGATCACTAATTTGGCTCAGAGACAACAGCAGCAGAGCTGGAAGGGGCTAAGCTTATCTGATTCTGGAAGCAACACTGTTACACCATCTGTATTTTTCCCATATCTGTATGTTTTCCACAATACATCAAATAAGACAAGTCCCAAAGGTCTGAATGAATTAGAAACTATGAATAGAGACACTTAAAATGGGCACATGCCAAGCACAAGACAGGCAGAAGTCCTGTCTGGGTCTCACGTTCTATGACGCTATGAAAACAGTCATGCCACATTCTCCCTAATCTTTAAAGCCATCTCTCATGAAAGCACAATCCACATGCCTAAAGGGCTCCAAAATTCTTCATGAGCAATGCTACTGCAGATTTGCATGCAGAGACAACATATGCTGGACACCACAGAGTCCAAGGGAAACATGGTACTTTCCGTTAAATCTGTCCTTAGTAGCCAGTTTTTTAAAAAATAACTTACCACTGTCCCACCACTTCCAAGCCTTCCCTTTCTTCTAAGAATTTGAAAAACATCAGGGTTTTCTGCAGCTTTGTAGCTAATTCCCATGATGATGTTTGTGCCTTGCAAAATAAAGAAGGCCACAGGAGAGCAGACACTGCCAGCACAGCAGTCAGGTCGGGGGAGCGGGGGTTGTTTAGAACAAGGTCCTTCATGTACCATTCTGAACCACCATCTTGTGCAGCAGCTCTGGCCGCAAACTACTCCATGGGAACAACGTGAAGACAAGAAGTATAGGGTGCATAAGTAACTTCTGTGTGTAGGCAGATTATTCACTTCTTCGTTCTATCAGTGGAAAGCACTACTGATGATGCAGGGAAGAAACAGAAGTCCTGTCTGGCTCTCACATGCTATGACTCTATGAAAACAGTCATGCCACATCTCCCTCACCTTAAAACTAAATCAGAGTATCAAAACTACTAAGCCAGAAACTTGTTTTTTTCGAATAGGAAGATGTTTGAACTGGAGCTCCAAAACATTGAAGTATCTTTACTAAAAGGGATATACTATCTTCTATAAAGAATTTCCATACACTTTATTTTGTTCCTAGAAAAAAAAAAAAGAAAATGCTCACACAAGTCCACACTTACACAGACGTGCACAGAAGCATGCTTCTTACCAAAAGTTACTTCTCCTTTGCCAGCTTTGTCAAACAGCTGAAAGGCTACCATAAACAAAGCATCAGGGGCACACAGGACAGATTCAAAGGCAACAAATTCTTGAAAAGATATTAATCTGCAACATAAAACAAACATAAAGCAAAAGTCAGTAGCTTGTGGAAAACAGAAGCATATACAAACATACACTGAGGGAAAAAATAAGATATCACTGCCAAAACATAAAATTCAAACTGAAAACATTTATAAACATTTAGCATTTACTTTTACATATAGTGGACTGAAATAATAATGCACAGAATCTAAAAGACATGACAGCATTGACCATGAAGTTACACACTAAATACATTATAATTTCAAATATAACTGTTTTATCCAGCATCATATATGTTTCAGTCTTCCTTCAGGCATGTTTTTGGGTTCTATAATAAAAGTGCAGATACTTTAGACTAAGATGTGACTGCCTAACAGCAAAATAGAGCAACTTTGTTATGCATTAGTATCCTTATACACCATGCAAAAAACGGTTCACAGATATTGATTCACTACTGGTATTTACTGACCACCTGTGAATTGACCTAGGGCTAGTACAAGGGGAATACAGATAAATGATACATGAAACATGACCCCAAGGGACTTCTAGTCTAGTGAGGCAGACAGCACTGGTCTAGAAACAGACTAGTGTATAGAGGAAGGACAAATCATAACACAAGAACTAGTATGGTAATAAAAGTCTTTGTGGCAGAAATGGCATTTGAGCTAGGCCTTAAAAAATGAGTACAACTTGGATATGCGGTAATGGGTGTAGACTAGAGGGCACTTCAGGCAGAAGGCTAATGCAAGAAAGCTAAGGAGTGTACAGGGAAACTGATGAGTGACAGATTTTGTCTGGACAGTGGAGTGCATAAAAGAACAATGTAAAATAAGATTAGAAATATAGGACCAGAGGTGGCCTTGAAGAAAGAAAAGGGCCTGGTCATTCTTCTCTAGGAAAAAGGAGTGACTTTAACTTTCCGAAGGTCAAAATGTGGGTCAAATCTAAGCTTTAGGAAGAACATGAGAGGCCAAGGACGTTTTGACTTCCAAAGAGGAAATGGGTCCATAAAAGCTTTCCTAGATTTTATTTTTTAACAACTGCTATTTTAAGTATCCAAATACTTTAATGATACATTGAGATACTCCAAGTTTCCGGAGGATATGGAAGGAGGAAGAAAATAGGAATGGTTTTCATATATTTTACAGAAAACTTAGTTACTTCTAAACATCCTATAGAGAGAACACATTTTTATAAAAACTGTTACAAAGTGAACTTAGCTGTTTCCCAGAATGTCACCCAATTACAATAATGCTACAAAGAAAGGAAAAACGCAGTGTGTTCAATATAGCATCTCTGTATCATTAACCATCCAAAACACATGCTTCTCAATGCCTGGGAACACTCAGGAAGAGCATGTGTTACAGGGGAGTACTTCCCAAGGACATTTTATCCTCTACTAAGGTCTCTCTCACCGAGACTCTGCGTAGGAGGCAAGAAGGGGGGCAAATATGAGTCAAGCATTCCTGGCTGAACTCCAGGAGCTTACCACCAGCTGTTTGGAGGAAGGGGAGATAGTCATGAGCACACATAACCACTAGAAATTAAGAGTTAACTGTAAAAGAAAAAGTAAAGCACTAAGGGGCATAAAAGGGGTGAATTATTCTGCCTGGAAGAGTTGGGGACTGCTTCATGGCGGCATGGTATTTGAAGAACAAATTTTAAAGCTGAGAAGATCTTAGGGATTATCTACTTCAACCTCCTCATTTTACTTGTGAGGAAACGGAAACTGGAAAAAGTTAATGACCTGGGTTAGGCAAAACAACTGGCTTCTGACATTTTGGCCTGAAAACCAGGTCTCCTGGCTTCCATTTAACCTGGGTAGAATTCCAACTGCTGTGGGAAGATGGTGAAACCATGCCCCACAGGATTAAAGAATTTGGTAACTAACAAAAATTTATTAAGCTTGTCTTGCAGGACAGCAGAGAAGAAAACCATTTGTTACAGTTCTCTCTGTTTGCCACAAAATTGGCTGACAGACTGAGGCTGGTTGGAACCAACATAGCTGACTGGAGTCTGGGCAGAATAGACTTCTTCTCCTGTTGAGTAACCTTTTGACGTTAGAGGGCCAAAAACTCACCCTCAGTTCAAGCTAATGCCACCACTGTCCAAAGGTGCAACCCATGAAGCAGCATGGAAGGGCAACAGCATGCCCAAGACACTTTCCAAACCCCCTTTCCTTTCAGCCAATCACTAATCACTGTTCACCACCTAAACTCCACACTCAGAAGCCCTCCCTTAAATCTATGGCTGTAAGGCTGGTAGAGAAAGTCAAACTTGAGTGTGACTCCTCTCCCCTTACTCAGTTGCCTGGCAATAAACTTTCTTGCTGCAAAAAACTGGTGCTTTGTGTTTGGCTTTCCATTTTGTGCAGGCAAATGGACCGACTTTGGTTTGGTGACAATGGAGAGAGGAGGGAAGGGTAGAGAGAGGACATTCTACACTGGGGAAGCAAAGTACAGAGATGAAAACAAATGGATGTGCTGTATTTGGAGAAGCATGTAGGAGTTACCAATTCTCCATCTAGCAGGTCATGAGGAGCAAAAGACTGGCAAGAGCGAGATGCCAGCCACCTAGGGTGGACCTTAAGGGCCAAGCAACAGAATCTTGACTTTTTTTTCAGACAGTTAAAAATCACTCAGTTTCTGGATTAAGAAATGTCACATTCAAAACTTTGTTTTAGAAAAAGAACTGGTGTGGAAGATGAATTTAAAGGAGAGATGAGATGTGGGAGACAGCCTGGCAGCCAGGGATCACAGGGTTCTAAACCTGAGTGGGGGCCCTAGGAATGGAAGCAGAAGAAAGGCTAGAGAAACACAGCAGAGGCAGAAATTATAAAATGTGGTTAGGACTGGATGTTGGAGGCCAAGGCCAAGGAAACAGGCCAGGATGTTCCCAACATTTCCAACTTGGATAACTGAGTGGGATGATGATACCACCACCAAAGATAAACAAGAAAAAAGAAAAAAAGGTAAAAATTGGAAAGAAGGGACCTGTGGGAGAATGTAACCAACTGTGACTGTGTTTGAGGTAACAGTGGGACATGTAGTACAGTGTCCAGCCAGAAGCCAAAAGAGACCCAATGGACTCAAGAGAGATGCTGGTATGGGCAGAACTGTGTCCCCCGTCCCCAAAAATCCCAACCCCTAGAACCTCAGAATGTGACTTTATTTGGAAATAGGGTAGCTGCAAATGGAACTAGTTAAGATGAGATCATAGTGGAGTAGGGCAGGCACCTAATCCAATATGACTGGAGTCTTTTTTATAAAACAGGGAAATTTAAAAACAGACATGCACACAAGGAGAAAACCAAGTAAAGATGAACATAGAGATCAGGGTGACGCTTCTTCAAGCCAAGGAACACCAAAGGTTGCCCGCCCACCACCAGAAGACAGGAAAGAAGCACGGAACAGATTCTCCCTTACAGCCCTCAGAAGAAACCAACCCTGCTGAACCTCCACCTTGGATGTCTAGCCTCCAGAACTTAGGACAACTAATTTGTTTTTTTTTTTAAAGCTTCCCAGTTTGCGGTAGAGTACTTTGTTACAGCAGCCTGAGGAAACTAATATAGAGGCCAAGATTGGAAACACAGATCTGGCAGTTTTTAAAGAAAGGTTACTTAAAGCTGTGAATAAAAGTGCCCACAAGCATTTCATTTAGAGATGTTTCCTTTTCCTTTTCCTTTTAAGACATGCTGTAATAAAAGAAGACCTTGAGGAATTCACCGACAGGCCCGCCACACTATAGACTTCTGAAGCCGGACAGAAGACAAATGTGTTTCTGGCCCTTTGCTTCCCAGTCGCCACGCCTCCTCACATCCCCCAACCCTGCTGAGCAGGCACCCACAGCCACGCAGCCACACAGTGCTGCTCTCCAGGGGAACTTGCTGGCAGTTTGTTGAGGCCGAAAACAATCATATTTGCTTAATTACCCCTTCACAGACATTAGGTTCATTAAATAGAATCACACTATGCGTTATCTAGAAAAGGGATGTTTTTGGTTTCATGGTCTGAATAAAGAAAGGCTTAATATATATAAAAGGCTTATATAAAAAAAGCATATATAGGAGACCATATACATATGCAAAGCTTATAATATATAAAGACATATATATAATATATATTATATATATGACTATATATTTTATATATATATATATATATATATATATATATGTATGTATGTATATACAAAGCCTTGTCTGGCAATGTTAATGTTTCATAACTGAGAATAGCCAATAAATACTCTGGTATTTCAGGCATGTTACTGATACCAAAAGGTATGTAATTTGGTAATCCTGTTAGATATGAGTATTATACATCTATGCAGGAGGTATATAGATGAACCATAAAATCATAATGTATTATTGTTCACCAAGATCATTTTGGATTTTCAAGGTAATCTGACTAGAAGGCCATGAGAATAATTATGTAGTACTATATTACTTTACAGCATGATACCTAAAAATGTTTATATATATATATGTATATACATATATATATATAGACAAACAGTGCTTCCGTCTTGCTTTACAGATTTAATGAGCATTAACGTAAGTTACAACAAAGAATTCAAGCTTAATCAAGTTCAGACCTGGCTGGTGAACTCACTTAGTTCCTTTTCCACCCGCAACTCCCAGAACTTCTTTGACAATGTTAGATTCCCTTTAAAATGAATCATGCAGCTCTGATTAACTCTATGACTAGAATCTAAGGAACAGTATTTGCCACCACACTTATCTGCAGGAACTAATAGTAGAACATGGGTCAGCTAACATGAAAGCAAATGTACAAGTCACATTTCCACAGGCCTATACCACTCAGAGATTAGGGGAGGGTAGGTTTCTAACTACTCTATTTCATGGTTCTGATGCTACTAGATATTTTCTGTAAGCAAGTCATTTTTGTTTTACAAAGCATTAGAGCTGCTGTTCTCCTTCTGGAAGCCATTTATAACAGTAGCGACTTTGTAACTCCTTTATAGTCCAAGTAATAATAAAATAGCCAAAGCACTGCGTAGTACTATAAAATACTGGGCCAAAGAAGAAAGAGTTGAAAAGTGAATTGCATCTGTATGCTATGCTTACACAATGTAAATATTAATCATTTATCACATATGTGGAAAGGTACTACAAGATATATACCAAAATGATGATGGTGCTTCTTCACTGTAGCGTAACTTTAGGTCCCTCCTCCCCCCAGCTTTGCAAGGGATAGCACTTAGCCTGGAGATATCTGAAATATAATAGAGAATACAGACTAAAAATTGTGATATTATGGAAAAAGTAGGTTAAGTAACATAAGAGAACTGGAAATAAATGACTCAATGAATTCAGAGGAGGGAAAGATTACTGTCATGTTGAGTGAAAGGAGATGGAGAAAGCCTTACTGAAATTGCGAACACATGACACCAGAAGGAAGATGTGTTTGGTGAACATGAACTCAGTCTTGCAATAAAAGTGAAATGTGATCAAGTAAAGATGGGAGATGCGGGAGGAGAGTCCACCAGCTGCAGTTTGACTTCAATGCCTATTCTACATGTTTGGCAGAGGGCAGTTCTAGGGACGCAATCTCTGCTCCCCAGAAATGGTGGTCCAGAGGGGCAGAAGGTAAGCCAGGTACCAAGGAAGGAAGACCAGAGATGAAGAATCACAAGAAATCCATATTTGCTGGAGGAAAACTAGAACAGAAAATACAGTGCCGGGGTTGGGTGTGGCAGCTCATGTCTATAATTCCAGCACTTTGGGAGGCCAAGGCAGAAGGATCACTTGAGTCCAGGAGTTCAAGACTGCAGTGAGCTATGACTGCACCACTGCACTCCAGCCTGGGCTACAGAGTGAGACACCATCTACTAGAAAAAAAAAAAAAGAAAAGAAAGAAAAAAACCCTACAAAGTTGCTCACATCCTGATTATGAGGTCCTGTGATGGTAGACCAAGATCTGATAATTTTAGTGATGTGATCAATTTGTGCATCAGAACATTTAATCTGACAGAGGAGTGTTAAATGAACTTAAGGGGAAGAGACCAGAGTTGAGGAGATGCGATGGCAGAATCCAGGGAAGAGCTACGAAAGCCGAAAGGAGAGGAGAGGGGAGGGGAGGGGAGGGGAGGGGAGGGAAAGAAAAGAAAAGAAAAGAAAGAAAGGAAAGAAAGAAAGAAAGAAAGAAAGAAAGAAAGAAAGAAAGAAAGAAAGAAAGAAAGAAAGAAAGAAAGGCACTTTATACCAAGGGCTGGGAGTGCAGCATCTCCGGAGAACAATTTGACAACACAGCAAGAGTCTCAAAGATGTCTTTATGGCCACTCTGGGTAGCCTATGGGTTAGCCCTGCCCCACAAGAAGCAGTTAGAAAAAAACAAAAACAAAAAAACACCTCTTTACTCCTCAGCCACCACAATTGCACTTCTAGGAGTTTATCCTAAAAAATAATTCATAAATGCGTGCAAACTTTAATCTACAAGGATATTTACCCAGCACTGCTGGTAATGGTGAAAAAAGTACAAACAACCTCAATATACAACAATATGTGATGGACTGAATACAGAACATTGATATGCAGGATACTATCCAACCACTAAAAAGTGTTATAAACAAATCCATGGTAGTAAGTAAAAAGTCATTTACACAATGATGTGTAGAAAATTATTTGTTTCTTAAAAATGGACAATAATATTTTGCATACACACAAAGTCTGAAGAAGGCACACCAAAGTGTTGGCAGTGGATATCATCTCTAGGTGGTTAAATTGTTAGAAATTTAAGATTTTTTTCTGCTTGTCCATATTTTCTAATCCTTTCAATAATATACATACTGCACTGTTCTTACAGTAAGAAAAAAATAAAAATTCATATGAAACAAAATAGCAAAGTCCTCAACTTAGATAGTGGCAGGAGGACTATATAAGAGATTTGGGGAGAGGAAGACAAATTGAAAAAAGAAACAAAGGATCTGAAAGAATCACACTAACGGACAACCTCCAGTTCTTCTCCTCCTCTCTGTCCTCGCTTATTCTCACTCAGCAGAGGCTTAGACCCCATGTGATCCCTTTCATCTCCTGCCTGGCTCCTATCTCCAGGCCAACTCTGTGGCTACGAAAGTTTAAGCAACAGCACATAGGAATTGTTCTGTTCATACTTCAGGAAGTTTGGTTGTAGACAATGTACCATCAAAATCCAATTACCACTTTTACTGAAGGTTCCTAACCACAAGAGTACTTCACAAAAATAACTTCTCCTTATACCTCTTCTGTGTGTTACAGCAGAAGCCAAGCAATTGTCCAGGGTCAATGGCAGAGATGAAAGTAAAATCTAACTCCAAAAACACAGTTCTAACCATCAGACCACACAAGTATATGTGGGTGTTAAGAAAAATCTGGAACTGGACTCTCCTGTGATCACCAGTTTATCCAAATTTATCCAAAGCTTTGGTCTCCATGATTTTTAACATCTTTTAATAGCTTTTGGCTTTTATAGCTCTTCTCTTTCCCGCCCATATTCCTTGCAAATACACATTATTCAGGCAACCAAGCTGTAAACCAAAAATAAAATTCTAAGACCCCTTGATGGACTTCCTTCTTAGCCAAGGCACTCTTCAAATTTAACCTAAAAGACTGTTTCTGGCCATGACGGGAAGTGGGGGTTGGACATGTCTCATTATATCTTAAGTCTGATAAGAAATATTCACAATCTATTCCCTCTGAAGCCTGCTACCTAAGGGCTTCATCTGTACAATGAACACTTTGGTCTCTACAATACCTTATCTGAACCCAGACATTTCCTTTCTAATAATCCCAGGTCTTTAGGTAAACTCCAACCAATTGTCAACCAGAAAATGTTTAACTCTACCTATAACCTGGAAGCCTTCGCCCCACTTCGAGTTGTCCCACCTTTCTGGACAGAATCAATGTATTTCTTAAATGTAATTGATTGAAATCTCATGTCTCCCTAAAATGTGTAAAACCAAGCTGCACCCCGACCACCTTGGGCACATGTTCTCAGGATCTCCTGAGGGCTGTGTCACAGGCCATGGTCACTCATACCTGGCTCAGAATAAATCTCTTCCAATATTTTACAGTCTGACTCTTTTTTTTTTGAGACGGAGTCTCACTCTTGTTGCCCAGGCTGGAGTGCAATGGCGTGATCTCGGCTCACTGCAACCTCTGCCTCCCGGGTTCAAGCAATTCTCCTGCCTCAGCCTCCTGAGAAGCTGGGGATTACAGGCGTGCGCCACCATCCCCGGCTAATTTTTGTATTTTTAGTAGAGACAGGGTTTCACCATGTTGGCCAGGCTGGCCTCAAACTCCTGACCTCAGGTGATCCACCCGCCTCAGCCTCCCAAAGTGCTGGGATTACAGGTGTGAGCAACCACACCGGCCCCAGAGTCTGACTCTTTTTGATAACAAAGCAAATGTGTACCCTGTTCCTATTATATGATAAGCCATGCCCCAGGCACTAAGGATACCTCAAAATTGACAACATCTATGTCCTCAAGGAACCACATTTGCAGATGGGTGGAGGATGAGCACATGCATACATAAAAATTCCAGAATTAGACAACCACTGCATAGGGTAAAATAGAGCAACGCCTTGGAATCATGCTTCTCAGCCCCAGATACTCTATTTCATTGGTCTGTAGAGGGGCCTAAACACTCATTTGGTTTTTTTTTAAACTTCTCAAGTGATTGTACTACATAGCCAGGCTTGAAAATCAACTTCAGGAGAGTAATGGGGTTGGGAGATAAGGCTACTTTGCCTAAAGCGGTCAGGAAAAGCCTCTGGTGAGGAGGTATTGAGATCTGAATGGTGAAAAGCAGCGGCCAGGAAAAGAGTTGGAGGACAGGGATGTGAGGAGAAACATCAGTGCCAGCGCCCAAAGCAGGCCACCCTTGTTAAGTTCCAAAGGGCAGGGAGACCTCGAGCAGCTGGAGAGTAGAGAAGGCAGGGGAAGGGAAAGGGGATGAGGATGAGGGAGGTGCCGGGCATAAAAGGATGCCTGGATTTTATTCCTAGGGAAATCAGCTGCTGTTGAAGGGTTTTATGCAGGGGAGTGATGTGACTCGCCTCAGAGTTAGAAAGGTTACGAAGAACACTCAAGACACTGTGGAGCACGGGCCGCCGGGTGAAGCAGTGAGCCCAGTTAGAAGCGGCTACAGTAGGCTAAACCTGGGTCGTAGCAAGAGAACCAAGGAGCAGTCAAATCTGGGATACATTTTCTAAACAGCTGTTAAGGCTTAATTACGTGGGGTCTGGGGGGGTCCTGTCCTGGAAGTCACAGCAAGCAGTTTTTAAAGCCCAGGAGCTGCTCAGCCCCTCCCCATCAAGAGGAGGCCCAGTGGCCAGGGGCTATGGCAGTCACAGGCACAGACTCTGAGGCTTGGAAGTCACTGAGGATATGGAAACTACCAGTTAGGCAGATGAAGAGGATGCTCCTAAGTAAAGATTTTTATTTAATATGTTAGTTGATGGTCAGCAAGCACACAAACGAAGACTCACGACTCCAATTATGCAAATTCATGACTATTGTTTCTAATCTGATCTGAAAAGAGACAATGAGTGATTACCCAATCTTCTAAAAACCATCAGGAATAAGGTGGACAGAAGCTGAGTCCTATAGGGTCTTACCTTTGCCTAACTGGCTGAATGACCTTGTTGGACAAGTTGGAACAGATATCCTTTCTTGTTCCATAAAAGGTGCTTTTCTCGGATGCCTTTCATTCTAAAATCCTGTTTTCTTCCATTTTAGGTTACAGGCAGCCATTCTGTGCCCACCCTGGCTCCAGAAAGGACCTTGGCATTCCCTGGAGTGCATGTGTTCTGAGGCCAGCAGGGCTCTTCAGCTCTACTATGTACTCTGGTTCAAATCTCGCTGCAGTGTTTGCCAAGGGCCTATTTAAATTCATTGGCTCCAGTGAAATCTGGCAGATTGAATATTGTTCAAACAAGCAGGCTACTGCCTGGCTTTAAAAACCTATTAAAGATTTTTATTGGCAATTTTACTGTATCGTTATCACAAATTTGGCCTATAAATATCACCTCTGCATATATCACTGCCTCCATATTGGCAAAAGTATATATATATATATATAGGCTCTCGTAATTGTGAGCTTAACTCAGTAAGTGATCTGTCCATACTGCCAGCTCTACTTGGCAGCCCATCGCCTTGCAGCTGACTCCAAACAGCAGTCAAGTTGCCCAAGGCTGACTGTGCCAACCAGGGGGATTTACTGGGGTATTCTTATACCTCCAACATTCTCTTTCTTATAAGATGGATCAAGCACATTTGACAGGTATGATTCATCCCTTTTCTAGTTCTCACTTGCTAGTACGTAGTTAATTCAAGTAACACTAGAAAATGTCTTTACTCTTCCTATACCCCATTTATTCTTTCCCTCCCTGTAAAATAACCATTACTCAATGAGATGAGGAGAATCTGCCCCAGTGTCCTTGCCACCTCCCTCAACCTCTCTTTTAACCTTCAAGTCACAAAAATGCTCCGATCACGGCCAATCCCTACAAAGATGATTCTACATCAAGGAAAAGAACCACTACAAGCCTACAAGCTTTTAAAACTAGAGACAAATCATATTCACCATCTCCACAATTCTTTAGATAAATATCCTTTATTTCTTAAATACTAGTAGACATCATTTAAAAACCCCGAAAAGCTATCTTATTATACTACATTGTTCCTATTTTGTATAATTACCAACACTGAGAGCAGAATTTAATAATGTGCATGACAAATAGTCTGCATTTTAATTACATCATGGATATTTTGAGATCTACCAAAGACTTCTTTTTAAAGGAAAAGTCTACTAAGTTTAAACAAACAAAAAACACCATAAATACCTCATTTTAAATTACGTATTGCCTTCAAAGCAGGAGGAAATCAAAAGAGGTAAAGAAAGACCATTGAGGAAAAAAGGGAAAAGTAATTGTAAACCATGATGGAAAACTGATTAAGGCAAATAAAGCAGATTTAAAAACCTAGGTTTCCTAAATCTTTCTTTGTTCTACTAATTAAGGCTGGATAAAAAGGTCTCAATGTTATTAAAATGGCAAATGAAGAAGGATAGTGGGGAAACCACAAATAAGAAATCAGTAACTGAAAAGCCAGCAGGCATATGAATTTGTCAGCGTATACTGGCCTACACTATATAAAGCAGCATGTTGGTTTATTCTCATTACCACTGGATAACCAGGTACTTTGAATGCACCCAAGGACAGAAAGACTGGCCTGCATGCAAGGGCACACACTGCCAAATCCTTCACTTCTCTAACCATAGTCTCCAGTTTGATCATTCCCTTGATTTAGGGCTGAAAAGCACAAAAGTACCTACAGGGTACCGAAGGCACAGCCCAAGGAACAGAATGTTCCCATACATACTTTTAGTTAATGCCCATATTACCTATGTTTGTTCTCAGCTCAAATAACATTTTAAAATACCAAAAATTGATTGAGCTAAACGATTTTTTAATTGGAACACAATGCCTTTCTCAATAGGTTTTTCTGAATCTCTGAAGCAAGGTAATGATGATTAAAACAATATTCTAAAACGAACAAAAGGCACATAAGCATAGGCACACAAAAAGTGACAAGAACATGCTATTTTCTTGCATCTGCCGTTGATCAATTCCTAGTTTGTCACTGTTAAAAAAATAAAAATACATCAGCAGTAAACTAAAATTTTTAAAAAATACATGAAATCAAAATTATACTGATTCCTCTTTGAGAAACATTATCAATTACTCGGGAACATTTTGGCATTTTCTTTCATTCAACTGTAATTCCTACATTTTGGATACACACAAAACCTCTCTTGATGTGACTGTAATAAAAGTCCCTGGCAAAGCAAAAATTAAATGACTGAAATAGCCCTTATCATTTTAAGAAATAAAATTATTCATGGTGTGGGCAAGAAGAAATAAAAATACCCAGGCTTGAGCCAGAATATCACAAAAAAAAGCCAACATTAATATCTGCTGTGCCAGCTGAATTCAAATTAACCCAATTTTTACATGTTAATTAAACCAGCTATTTTCTTCTTATTGTATTTTTGCTTCTTAAATAGTAGAGTCTACAAGTGATTCCCAACAGACTTGTTCCAACAACAATGACGTATTCATTTACTTCTATTATGACCATACAATACAGTAACTGAGCAGTAATTTTTCACAGTCAATTACATGTGTGGTTCTTTATGCTTAAAGATGCTGAAATAATGTGTACTATAGAGCCATATGCCCGAATCTCTAGTCTGCCAGAGGCAGTTGCCTGGGTAACACATTTTCTCTCCGGTTTAGCATAACCCTTCACTGAATATCATTAGGTGTCATTAAATAGCAAACATTAACATGAACTTCAATATACTACTTAGATAGAGTCATTTTACCCATGTAAACAAGTGTTCCATCATTTATCTAAGCTTAAAATAGATTATGATTTTCTGTATTTAAGACCATAAAAAAGAAAAAAAAAGTGCCCATGTGTTGATTTCAGATTGAATTTGCAGAAATTTCTGATGACGTAAGAGAACTCAGACCAAGTTTCAGAATAACATTTCATAATATTATGGTCATAATATTCAATGTAAGCAAAGAAAGATTAGGCTTTAAAATGTACTCGATCCTATAAAATAATTCCATCAATTGTATCTCAGATGAAAGATTATTGTACCCTCTTTAATAAGGACTAGGGAGAATGCACTCAAATTCGGCAACAAAATGAACTTAAAGAATAAGGTGCTTAAAAATCAAGGTATATAGGAATAAATACAAAGTATGGGATCCATTGTGCATTATCTAAAATTTTTTTACAGCTTTATTGACATATAATTGACAAAAATTGTATACATTTAAAGTGTACAATGTGTTATTTTTATATACATATACATTGAAAAATGATTATCACAATCAAGCTAATTAACACATGCACCACATAGTTGTCTCATATAGTTAAAATATTTTAAATGTTCAAAATTTAATGAAGTACTATATGGTTTAGATGTGGCAATATATAGTTTATACAGGGTGTTCTAGAGCAATGTCTGCATTGAGAGTAGCAGCTGGGAAAAAAAAAAAAAAAAGAAAGAGTAGCCGCTGTCTCAAATACTCTCCATCAGCCTACACCACCCCAAACAAGCATCCACATCTAAGAAAAACAATGTGCTTTTTCTACAGTCTCAACAGTCCTAATCCTATTACCACTCCCAAACCAAGGAATTATGATGTTTCTGAGATACATCATAATTTCAGATGAACCTAAATTCAGCCTATAAGCAATCACAGCTTTTCCTCTATCATCCACATTACAAAGGGGCTCCAAATTGTCAATGTTAATTTTAAAGGACACATATAAAAAGAAAATGAATCATCAAATGGCACTACTACCCGAATTTATTTTCTTACCACTCCTAGTATAGGAGAAGGGTAGATTCTAAAATCCTGGCAGCAAGGGCAGGGGGACTCATAGAAGTTCAGGGGCAGCATCAAAGCTGTCCACAGTCAACTTAGAATAACAAAAGAGAGAGGGTGGCCAAGAATAAATGAGTTCTTCTTGGTTATGGGGAATGAGATTCCAGATACTACTACGATGATGAAGTGGAATTTTTTTTCTTTTTCTTGCACCTGTTTCCTAATGCAAAATAAGAAAGAAACAGCCACACAAAATGGTGCAACTTGGACTTAGGTACCATGCTCCTACCTCCACTGCTCCAAAAATATTCATCTGTTTGCAAAAGTAAATAGAACCTCAATCACGAGTTCAGTCTGGGGGCTGGGAAGTAGTTAGCAGGAAAAAAATTATTTGGTTTTAATTGTATATTCCATTTTGGTTTCAGCACTCTGTTTTGAATGAATGTTTCTATGAGGCAAATTATAAGAAACAAATTGACAGCAAGGATAAATAAATCTTTAAGCAAAATATTTTCAAGATATACTGCTATCAGGAGAAATTAAATTGCATCTCTGACACCTCCATGACAATTCACATTCTGAATGATTAAGACATTCTACAATTTCAAATAAAATTTTAAGAAATTAAAACTAAATTGTATAAACGGTAGTGACTGGGAAAAGTAGCCTAATACCTTATGAAATGTTACAAATAAGAATTAAAATAAAAAGTGATTTCTAAAGCTGGGCACAATTGCACGTGCCTCTGTTCTCAGCTGCTCGGAAGGCTAACGTGGGAGGGTCGCTTGAGCCCAGGAGTTTGAGACCAGCCTGGGCAACGGAGTGAGCTCTCATGTCCATTTTTTGTAAAAAAGACAAAAAGTAATTTCTGCTTACAATATGCTGATTAAGTAGCATTTCTAGATTTTACTCCAAATCCACAGTAAACAGAATACTACTATTCCCACCTCTATTCCCAATACAGATTAAAATTTTACTACATGAACATAATTTGCTTGCTTAAAAACTGGCGCAAGATCTGGTAAAGAAAAAGACATACACATCTTTCATATTTAGTCATGTTTTGTTATACAAATAGCCACACCAAAATACAATGAATTCACCTATTAACACAGGCCACCTGTGAATATAGATTTTCTGAAAATAACCAAAGGAGTTTATTATGACTGTTTGAGCCCATTCTATTTAGGTTCATATTTTATTTTGCTCATGGAAGAACCTATATAAATGCTGAAAAGCAGTTAAGAAAAATTTTCTGTCCCAATTGATCTGGCATGTTTCCCCATTCTATGCCATCCTATCTCTGCACTTCTTACCAAGTTCTATGTCTAAAGGTCTCCTAACAATTTCAAGCTTTTTTAAAACGCAGGCCATTACAACACAGAACAGTAATTGTAAAAGATCATCAAAATTAGAAACTGTTGGGAGTACTTTATATTTTTGCAAGAGGAAATTAAGCTACACAACTTTTGAGACTCTCTTGCATTTTCTTGGTATAAGTATTGCAGAAAAGCAACATCAATATTTTAATGCTTTTTCCTTCAGAAATTGGTTACTGTTTTATTTCTTAACTTAGCAAAAAAAAAAAAAAAAACTCTAGGCCAGGCATGGTGGCTCACGCCTGTAATCCCAGCACCTTGGGAGGCTAAGGCGGGCGGATCATCTGAGATCAGGAGTTCGAGACTAACCTAGCCAACATGGTGAACCCCATCTCTACCAAAAATATAAAAATTAGCCAGGTGTGGTGACACACGCCTGTGATCCCAGCTAATCAGGAGGCTGAGTGAGGCAGGAGAATTGTTTGAACCCAGGAGGCGGAGGTTGCAGTGAGCTGAGATCACACCACTGCACTCCAGCCTGGGTGATAAAGTGAGACTCTGTCTCAAAAAAAGAAAAAAAACTCTAGAAGAAAGTACTGAATCAGAAAATCATAAGGCAAGAGAAGGTGGGTTTCAATATGAATTACATGTTCAGCTAAATCCTTAGGGGCTTTCAGGGTTTTGCCCAAGTAGATGCAATATCCTCAGTGAATCTAAAAAGTTATATTCTAAATAACTTGAAGAATAATGTGAACAGCCAAAATTCACTAAAAGAGCAGCGACATGGCTGTCTTTACTTAACTCTACGGCAGAAGGCAGTTAACTTACCAGACCATAAGACATAAATGAGCGAGGACATGCCGAATGGTTGGAATCCACCAACACTTTGGGACATGAGTCCAGTCCCTTGTAAGGATGCTGAAGAATGGGGCAGGATTCTCAAAAATATGAGAATCTAATCCTATATATAGGTGGTTTTTTCAACACAAAGAATTCCTCAGAAAAAGTTTACAAAAACTAGAACAACCCCAAAATACTGTGGAAGCAGTCTACTTGGGGAGGAGAAAAGTGAAGACAGGAGAAGAAAAAAGATTTGCTAAAAGTTTTAGACCTGTTACAAAAAAAAAAAAAGAGGCTCCATAAAATATTACAGTGGTCCTGGGAGAAAAATGACAGCAGAGATTTTAACATGTAAAAATTCAAAGAAGGAACCATAGAGAGAAATCTAAGAATCCCACCTCTTCTGGATAATACCTCACATGTGCATGGAACATTATGTGTTCAATCCATTCAAATTAGACAAATACTTATGGAGTGCTACTATGTGCCAGCCACGTTCTAGGATCTGCTGACTCAGCAGTGAACTAAACAGACAAAAATCCCTGCTTTCGTGGAGCTTACAGTCAAGTGTGTGGGAAAGAGGAGGAGACAAAAAAAAAATTAATGAAACCCACATGTATTATACAAGATAACCACCATGAGAAAGCCCTAAAGGAAGTGAGTGAGATTCTTAGGGGAAGTGCCTTACAGAAGGAAGAGGAAGTACAAGGCCTCTAGGTGGGACCAAGCACGGCAAGCACGGTGTGTTCAAGGTGCGGCAAGAAGACCAATGTCACCAGAACAAAGTAATTAAGGGAAAGAGCAGCAGATGAAGTGAGGGGCTGGGGAGGTAACGTAAGGAGAGAGTACCACAAGGCCTTGTTGGCCACGAGAAGGGCTTTGGCTTTTACTCTGAGTGAAAATGGAGAGCCATAAAGGATTGTGAGCCAGAGAGTGACATAATCCAACTCAGATTTTAACAGAATCACTCTGGCTGCACAAGAAGATTTGGTGAGAAGTTATTACAATAATCCAGGTGAGAGATGGTCATGCCTGCGTCTGGTTATGGAGTAACATCCTCCATAATGCTGAGCAGAATTTTTAAAAAGTAAATCAAGTAAAATGCAGGGTCACATCATTGGGTGTTGAATCACTCAGTGGGAATGATTCTACAGAACTGGCCAACTGGAAGCCACACACCAATCACCAGTTGCATTGCATCTGAATTTGCATTGATATGGAGTGAACTGATTGAGTCGTACTATTTTCTTTTCTATTTTTTTGCTTTACTTAATAAACTGTTCTTGAAACTGTACTTGGAAAGAAAATAAAAGTGAAGCAGACCTGCAGGGGTGTGTACATTTACTATCTTACTGCCCATTTGAAGCATCTTCACTAGCAGTTGGTGTAGCACCATCTTTGCTATTTTGGGTATAGACTGAATGTGGGCTGTGTGTTGGAAACCAACCTGATGAGTCTTTACTAAGCACTTCTTATTGGACACCCTGGTCAGAGAGCCTCAAGTCATCAATCCTTCACAGATGAATACAGCAGTTATGAACTACAGTTGGAAACGTCTTTATATTTTTTTTCTATATGACTTTATGAAACAAGACCAAAAACAGAGCTTGTCTTAGAGTTTGCCTTTGAATCTTTTTTTATTTGGGGACTTGAGTCCAGACTTATTTACTGGGTCTCTTTCTTGGTCAACTTTCCAGCATCTTCCTTTTTTTGTATTATCCTTGCTGGTATCATGAAGCCTGAACAGCAGTTGCTGCTACTGTCACCTTTCCAAGAAATTGGGCAGAGGGAGTACTGACGATACATATACTGATAGTGAGGCCAACTAGACTGGATGTAAGATTTGAAGGGAGGTGTGAAAGAAAAGAAGGAAGCAAGGATGTCCCTAGAGTTTGGGGCCTGAGCAACTGCAAGACAGAATCTACTGAGCAAGCAATAGGAAAGAATGCTTGGAGAGAGAAGGCTCAGGAGCCTAGGTCAGGACATGTGACATTTGAGGGGCCTATTAGGTACGCAAATGGACTCTCACAGAAGCAGCAGGGAGGAGAGGGCTGAAGACATAAAAGTAGAAGTTATGAAGTATTTAGCACCATGAGATGGGACAAGATCACCCAAAAAGTAGTTAGGAAAAACTAGAGATGTGAGAACCAGTGAGGTCTGAGGGATGCAAGGGAACATGGTATAATGAACGTGAAGTGAGTATTGCAAAAAGGGGTAAGAGGCAAGTGTGTTAACCTGAGAACTAATATTATCATTGGATTCTGCTTTGAAGATCGTAACAAGGGCAGATTAGAGCATAGTAGAGCAGCAGAGGAAACTTGGGGAGAGTGGATTCAAGAATGAATGGGCAGGCTGGGCACGGTGGGTCACACCTGTAATCCCAGCACTTTGGGAGGCAGAGGTGGGTGGATCACTTGAGGCTAGGAGTTTGAGACCAGCCTGGACAACATGGTGAAACCCTGTCTCTACTAAAAATACAAAAATTATCTGGGCATGGTGCCATGCTCCTGTTATTCCAGCTACCCAGGAGGCTGAGGCAGAAGAATCGCTTGAACCCGGGAGGCGGAGGTTGCAGTGAGCTGAGATCATGCCACTGCACTCCAGCCTGGCTAACAGAGCAAGGCTCCATCTCAAAAAAGAATCAATGGGCAGAGGAATTAATTGTAAGGGCCAGAACAGACAGTGCTTTTGATGAGTGTTGCAGAAAGAAGAGAAATGGGGCAGAATCTGAAGAGGAAAGTGCAATTATGAGGAGTTTTTCTTCACATGGAAGGTCTGTTTGCCACCAGGAAAGATGCCAGGAATTGGGGAAGAAAAGTAGGAGGTGAGGAAAGGAATAAGAGAGGGAAGGAATGAGAGGAGAGAGGAATGTTGAAACAGTATCTGCAGGTAAATTGAGAAGGGAAAGCTAACTAAACTTCCCTGGAGTTTATTTCACTGGGTGACAACACAAGCATTCACCGAGCAAGTAACAACCCCATTTAATCAGATGAGAAAACAGGCTCACATGGGATAGGTCACTTGTCTAAGATCCCACAGATTTTAAAAGACATAGTAAAATGTGTTTTTTTGACTGCTATCAGTGATCCTTTCACTCTATAATGCTTTTCCCATGCAAAAGACCCATTGTTATCAGGACAGCAGTTAGCAGGAGCAATAAGAGTGACTCTATAACATCGAAGCCCTTTCCTGTATGAGTGGACAGGGAAGCAGACAGCATAGGAAGTGTTTGGTGCAGGGAATGCAGAACATAGGAGCAAGTGAGACGGTATTCTGAGAGTAAAGTTCATCTCATCATTAGGGTTTGTCCATTGCTCTTTGACAACAGCCCTAAAATGGTTTGGGAAAAGATCCTGATGAGCCAAATAATGTAAACCTTAAAAGCACTGGTCTGTAAACTTTAACAGATATTGGAATAAACTGGAAAAATAATTATAAATGTATATGCTTACACTATGCAGCCATAAAAAGGAATGAGGAAGATTTCTTTACATATTTATAGAATTATCTTCAAAACACACGACTAAGAGATAAAAGCAACTGTGTGTGTGTGCTGTATGTGTGTGTGCGCATGTCTGTCTGTCTGTCTGTCTTCCCTGGAGACAAACATTATACAAATGCTGTGATGGTTAATTTTATGTGTTACCTCGATAGCAACATGTGGTAGTCAGATTAAACATTATTTCTGAGTGTGTCTGTATGGGTGTTTCTGGATGAGATTTGCATGTAAATAGGCAGTCTGGGTAAAGCAGATTGCCCTCCCAATGTGGTAGGCAACATCCAATCCACTGAGGTCCTGAATAAACCAAAAAGGTGGAGAAAGGGATAACTTGCTTTCTCCACCTGAGTGTTAGAGCTGGAACATGGATCTACTCCTGCTCTCAGACTGGGAAGTACACCATTGGCTCCCTGGTTCTCAGGTCTTTAGACTCAAACTGAATTACACCATTGGCTTTCCCAGATCTCCAGCTTGCAGACAGCTGATACTGGGAATTCTCAGCCTCCACAGTCATGTGAGACAAGTCCTTATAATAAATGTCTTCATTTATTATTTACATGTACATTTACATGTGTATTTGTCTCTCTTTATATAAATATACATATATACCCACATATGTGTGTGTATATATACCCTATTGGATCTGTTTCATGAGCAAACCCTAGTACACATGCACATATACTACATATATACACACACATACACACTCCCTCAAAGGAGCGTATATATAGTATATAGAGTTGATAGAGCTGCCTTTTGGATACGAATGGGGAAGGAAAGATGAACACAAATACACATATAAATTTACTTATATTTGGGGAAAAAATACCCTGTGGGAGGAGAAACCAAAAAACTAATACAAAAAAGAATGACCTATAAAAAGGAAGGAAGAGTCAGGGTGAAAAGGACGGGCATGTTAAGACAGACTTCCCTGAGCATACCTTCCTTCTGTTGTATAGTTTTGATTTGGGAAACATATGTTTTACATACTCAAAAATTAAATTAAGTTGAAAATAAAAAAGACAATCCCTAAAAATTGAAAATAAACTGAAAAAATGAACCTCCCTATATATATATTAAGTTGGTGGCAAAACCACACAGAATTAAATGAATTCTTTCCAATAACTTTAGAATACAGTATTTTAACTATATATACTTTGTGGAACACAGTCTAAGTACAACAGAACTAAAAAGAAATCTTAAACTTCATTCAGTATCTAATTGTTGGCAGCAATAAAGGTGTTACTATTTTGGATATATCCTACACATGGCAAATATGTAATACTGTGAATGTTGCTGGTAACCAGGATTTTCAATGAAAGAGCGGAGATAGAAAAATCAAAACAATAAAATTACTTTGGATTTAACTGTGTCAATTTATCTTTACATTTGAAATATCAGCATGAATGGAAAATTTTTTCTCTAATGAATTGAAAAGGCATCAGCTAGGTGCGGTAGCTCACACTTGTAGTTCCAGCACTTTGGGAGGCCAATGTGGCGGGATCATTTGAGCCCAGAAGTTTAAGACCAGCCTGGGAAACACAGGGAAACCCCATCTTTACAAAAAATTTAAAAATTTAGCCAGCCATGGTGGTGTGTGCTTGTGGTCCCAGCAACTCCGGAGGCTGAGGCAGGAGGACCACTTGAGCCCAGGCGGTTGAGGCTGCATTGAGCCATGATTGTACCACTACACTTCAGCCTGGACAACAGGGCAAAACCCTAACTCAAAATAATAATAATAAATAAAGAGAAGAGAAAAACAAAAGGTCTCAAAGTAGTGACAACTCAAAAGAAGGAAACATACCTAATCCCCAGATTGTGGTCTATAAATACAACTGCCTACTAAAAAGAAGGGCTCCAGAAAGAAAGGTCGGATTACCCACAAAGGGAAGCCCATCAGACTAACAGTGAATCTCTCTGCAGAAACCTTAAAAGCCAGAAGAGAGTAGGGGCCAATATTCAACATTCTTAAAGAAAATAATTTTCAACCCAGAATTTCATATCCAGCCAAACTAAGCTTCATAAGTGAAGGAGAAATAAAATACTTTACAGACAAGCAAATTCTGAGGGATATCGTCACCACCAGGCCGGCCTTACAAGAACTCCTGAAGGAAGCACTAAATATAGAAAGGAAAAACTGGTACTAGCCACTGCAAAAACAAACCAAAATGTAAAAACCATCGACACTATGAAGAAACTGCATCAACTAATGGGCAAAATAAATGGCAAGCATCATAATGACAGGATCAAATTCACACATAACAATATTAACCTTAAACGGGCTAAATGCCCCAATTCAAAGGCACAGACTGGCAAATGGGATAAAGAGTCAAGACCCGTCGGTGTGCTATATTCAGGTGACCCATCTCACATGCAAAGACACACAGGCTCAAAATAAAGGGATGGAGGAATATTTGCCAAGCAAATGGAAAGCAAAAAAAAGGCAGGGGGTGCAATCCTAGTCTCTGATAAAACAGACTTTAAACCAACAGAGATCCAAAAAGACAAAGAAGGGCATTATATAATGATAAAGGGATCAATCCGACAAGAAGAGCTAGCTATCCTAAATACATATGGAGCCCATACAGGAGTACCCAGATTCATAAAGCAAGTTCTTAGAGACCTACAAAGAGACTCAGACTCCCACACAATAATAGTGGGAGACTTTAACACCCCACTGTCCATATTAGACAGATCAAAGAGACAGAAAATTAACAAGGATATTCAGAACTTGAAGTCAGCTCTGTACCAAGCAGAACTAATAGACAGCTATAGAACTCTCCACCCCAAATCAAAAGAATATACCTTCTTCTCAGCACCACATAGCACTTATTCTAAAATCGACCACATAATTGGAAGTAAAACACTCCTCAGCAAATGTAAAAGAATGGAAATCAAAACAGTCTCTCAGACCACAGTGCAATCAAAGTAGAACTCAGGATCAAGAAATTCACTCAAAACCACACAACTACATGGAAACTGAACAACCTGCTCCTGAATGACTACTGGGTAAATAACAAAATTAAGGCAGAAATAAATAAGTTCTTTGAAACAAATGAGAACAAAGACACAACGTACCAGAATCTCTGGGGCACAGCTAAAGCAGTGTTTAGAGGGAAATTTATAGCACTAAATGCCCATAGGAAAAGGCGGGAAAGATCTAAAATTGACACTCCATCACAATTAAAAGAACTAGAGAAGCAAGAGCAAACACATTCGAAAGCTAGCAGAAGACAAGAAATAACTAAGATCAGAGCAGAACTGAAGGAGACACAGACACAAAATACCCTTCAAAAAAAATCAATGAATCCAGGAGCTGGTTTTTTGAAAAGATTAACCAAATAGATAGACCACTAGCCAGACTAATAAAGAAGAAAAGAGAGAAGAATCAAATAGATGCAATAAAAAATGAAAAAGGGGAGATCACCACTGATCCCACAGAAATACAAACTACCATCAGAGAATATTATAAACACTTCCACACAAATAAACTAGAAAATCTAGAAGAAATGGATAAATTCCTGGACACATACATCCTCCCAAGACTAAATTAGGAAGAAGTTGAATCCCTGAATAGATCAATAACAAGTTCTGAAATTGAGGCAGTAATTAATAGCCTACTAACCAAAAAAAGTCCAGGACCAGATGGATTCACAGCCAAATTCTACCAGAGGTACAAAGAGGAGCTGGTACCATTCCTTCTGAAACTATTCCAAACAATAGAAAAAGAGGGACTCCTCCCTAACTCATTTTATGAGGCTAGCATCATCCTAATACCAAAATCTGGCAGAGACACAACAAAAAAAGAAAATTGCAGGCCAATATCCCTGATGAACATTTATATGAAAATCCTCAATAAAATACTGGCAAACCAAATCCAGCTGCACATTAAAAAGCTTATCTACTATAATCAAGTCGGCTTCATCCCTGGGATGCAAGGCTGGTTCAACATACGTGATAATCAATAAACGTAATTCATCACATAAACAGAACCAATGACAAAAACCACATGATTAGCTCAATAGATGCAGAAAAGGCCTTTGATAAAATTCAACATCCCTTCATGGTAAAAACACTCAATAAACCAGGTATTCATGGAACGTATCTCAAAAAGAATAAGAGCTATTTACGACAAACGGACAGCCAATATCATACTAAATGGGCAAAAACTGGAAGCATTCCCTTTGAAAACCAGCACAAGACAAGGATGCCCTCTCTCACCACTCCTATTCAAAATAGTATTGGAAGTTCTGGCCAGGGCAATCAGGCAAGAGAAAGAAATAAAGGGTATTTAAATGGAAGAGAGGAAGTCAAATGATCTCTGTTTGCACATGACATGATTGCATATTTAGAAAACCCCATCGTCTCAGCCCAAAACCTCCTTAAGCTGATAAGCAACTTCAGCAATGTCTCAGGATACAAAATTCTTGTGCAAAAATCACAAACATGCCTATACACCAATAAAAGACAGAGAGCCAGATCATGAGCAAACTCCCATTCACAATTGCTACAAAAAGAATAAAATACCTAGGAATACAACTTACAAGGGATGTGAAGGACCTCTTCAAGGAGAACTACAAACCGCTGCTCAAGAAAATAAGAGAGGACACAAACAAATGGAAAAACATTCCATGCCCATGGATAGGAAGAATCAATATCGTGAAAATGGCCACACTGACCAAAGTAATTTATAGATTCAATGCTATTCCCATCAAACTACCATTGACTTCCTTCACAGAATTAGAAAAAACTACTTTAAATTTCACATGGAAACAAAAAAGAGCCCGTATAGCCAACACAATCCTAAGCAACAAGAACAAAGCTGGAGGCATCATGCTACCTGACTTCAAACTACACTATAAGGCTGCAGTAACCAAAACAGCATGGTACTAGTACCAAAACAGATATATAGACCAATGGGACAGAATAGAAGCCTCAGAAATAACACCACACATCTACAACCATCTGATCTTTGACAAACCTGACAAAAACAAGAAACGGGGAAAGGATTCTCTATTTAATAAATGGTGTTGGGAAAACTGGCTAACCATATGCAGAAAACTGAAACTGGATCCCTTCCTTACACTGTATACAAAAATTAACTCAGGATGGTAAAGATTTAAATGTAAGATATAAAACCATAAAAACCCTAGAAGAAAACCTAGGCAATACCATTCAGACATAGGCATATGCAAAGACTTCATGATTAAAATACCAAAAGCAATGGCAACAAAAGCCAAAATTGACAAATGGGATCTAATTAAACTAAAGAGCTTCTGCACAGCGAAAGAAACTATCATCAGAGTGAACAGGCAACCTACAGAATGGGAGAAAAATTTTGCAATTTATCCATCTGACAAAGGACTAACATCCAGAATCTACAAGGAACTTAAATATATTTACAAGATAAAAACAACCCCATCAAAAAGTGGGTAAAGATATGAACAGACACTTCTGAAAAAAAGACATTTATCATCCAACAAACATATGAAAAAAAGCTCATCATCACTGGTCATTAGAGAAATGGAAATCAACACCACAGTGAGATACCATCTCACGCCAGTTAGAATGGAGATTATTAAAAGTCAGGAAACAACAGATGCTGGAGAGGATGTGGAGAAATAGGAACGCTTTTACATTGCTGGTGGGAGTGTAAATCACTTCAACCATTGTGGAAGTCAGTGTGGTGATTCCTCAAGAATCTAGAACTAGAAATACCATTTGACCTAGCAATCTCATTACTGGGTATATACCCAAAGGATTACAAATCATTCTGCTATAAAAACACATGCACACGTATGTTTATGGCAGTACTATTCACAATAGCAGACTTGGAACCAACCTAAATGCTCGTCAATGACAGACTGGATAAAGAAAATGTGGCATATATACACCATAGAATACTATGCAGCCACAAGAAAGAATGAGTTCATGTCCTTTGCAGGGACATGGATGAAGATGGAAACCACCATTCTCAGCAAACTAACATAGGAACAGCAAACCAAACACCGCATGTTCGCACTCATAAGTGGTAGTCGAACAATGAGAACATATGCGCACAAGGAGGGAAACATCACACACTGGGGCCTGTCGGGGGGTGGGGAGCAAGGGGAGGGATAGCATTAGGAGAAATACCTAATGTAGATGCTGGGTTGATGGGTGCAGCAAACCACCATGGCACATGTATACCTATGTAATAAACCTGCACGTTCTGCACATGTATCCCAGAACTTAAAATATAATAATAATTAAAAAAGGGGGAGATTCAAGCAGAGCAACTGATTCCAGGTTCAGGGCAGGAAATATATAAAATAACAACCTATTTTGCCAGAAACAAGGAAGCTACCAAAAATCAATGGATCATATCAAAAAGGACAAAAGAGATAATATAAAAGGGTTCCTACTGGCCAAAGATGAGATATTGCAATTAAAACACAAACATATAAAAACCTGTAAGTTCATAATAATCAATACAAAAAAGACCCCAATTCCCCCACCCTACAAAACACAACTCACTGAAGTTACAACAGCACCAACTCCTTATGCTGAGAATTGGCTCAGACCAAATAAGTAATTACATTGACTCTCATCTCTAAGCATACATCTCACAGCCTGCCTCTCTAATTGCATGTTTAACAGGGAGGTCAATATTCTAATGTCCTAAAGAACTCTTAATTTTGCTTCCAAACCTACTCTTCCCCCAACATTCCCTATCTCATTTGCTTATATCGCCATTCCCCATATTTCATATCTAATCCATCAATAAAATCCCAAATCCAACCACTTCTTACCATTCAACTCTAGTCTTGCCATCACCTTTTACACAGATTACTGCAGCACAGTCCTAATTTCCCTTTCTTCCACTGTCACCCACTTCATCCCATTCTCTCAAATCAGCCAGGCAAAACCTTTCAAAATGTAATGCAGATCATGCTATTCCCATGCTCAAAACCCTCCAATGACTTCTACTACTCTCAAAATACAATTCTACAACATCTACATAACCTGGCCCTGGGATACATTTTATACTTCTTTCACTCTCCTATCAACCCTCTCTACTAGCTGGTCTCTTTGCTGCTTCTCAAACATGCCAAGCACCCTCCCCTCTCAGGCTCTTTGCACCTGTTATCCCCTCTATTCTTCTCTATTGAGAAGGCTCAATCCCTAGGGTCTCCCATGGCTTACTCCTTCATTCAAGTCTTTGCCCAAATGTCACTTTTCAGAGAGATCTTCCCTGACCACTTTATCGACCATAGCACTTTAATAAATATAACAACCTACCTCTATATCATCTATATATATCTTTTGTTTACATTATCTGTTTGCTATATAAAAGCACACTGTTTAGAACAGTGCCTGGCACATAGTTGGTGTCAATATATATTTGTTAAATGAGTTACCAAATCTGAAATTAATCTATATTTTTCAAGTATCAAGGTTGTCTCAGATTTGTAGCAGAAGGCCATTTTACCTTACCATATATCATTTATTTCAGACTAAGTTACTCTAAAATTTCTGACAATTAAGTTCTTTCATCAGTTATCTTCTTTCACCTTTTGCTTATTCCAGACTGAAGATCTCAAAACCTTTACATCAGATTGCAAGAGAAGTCTTACTTTACTCTCAAAAACCTTCATTAAAATCTCTGAATCTCACTGTATTTACTAGGAAGCAACTCACTGACAATCATGGCACAATTATGCCACAATCAATGGGAAAGTTGGGTACTATATCTCCTAACATTTTTGTCTTAGTCCATTTTATGCTTCTAGAACAGAATTACCTGAGACTGAGTAATTCATTTTAAAAATTTACTTCCTCACTGTTGTGGGATTTGGAAGTCCAAGATCAAGGCACTGACATTGAGGGCTTTCTTGCTGGGTTGTCCCATGATGGAAGGCATCACATGGGCAAGGGAAAGAGACGGGGAAGAGGACCAACTCATCCTTTGATAAGAAACCCACTCCTGAGATAAAGAACCCACTCCCACATACCACATGCCTGCGATAAAAGCATTAATATGTTCATCTCTTAAAGGTCCCCACTTCCCAACACCGTTGCAATAGACTAAGTTTCCAACACATGAACTTTCAGGACACATTCAAACTATAGCAGTTTTGCTTCATGAATTCCTCATAGCTCAGTACAAGACTGTTTTAATTTAAGCAACTCCACATCCTGTACCTCTAATTCTGACAGTGGTAAAGAAGCAGATTCTCAAGTAGCTAGGAAACAGAGCTTACATTTGATTTCCTTTCCTTTAAAATTTTAGATTTATGTTTTAAACACCTACAGTCTAGATCAAGCAAATCAAACAATTAATCCAGCTTATCTTTCTACACTAACACCAAACAAAGAAAGAGGAAAGAACAGTATTTGCTCTTTCAGGCATTCACTAAGCAGCATCATATGCTGGGAAGAATATGGAAGAACTGTTGGTATTAAGTTGGCCCAGTAACGATACTTATTCTTATTCTGAGAATATGATACGCAATGGTAACTCAAGGTTCAATATAAGAACAGTAAAAAGGGAAAAGTGTTCCAAAAACTACTCCTCAGTTTAAAAAAAAAGAGTAAGAGGTAAGCAAGGCCAGTTTTTCATAAGTGTGGGTATGGGTGACGAAGAGCCTCTCATGGAGGTTTTATATTCACCTTATGTTGGCCAAATATGAGGGCTAAATGACTAGTCTCAAGGGCAAAGAATCTTGCAAAGGCCATCAGAACTTCTAAGCAAAGACATAAGCAAAGTTCTCGTGCAAAGCTCAATTTTAAATATTCTTCTCTATGCATAGAAAGTTTCATGGTAGAGCAGATTGAGCACAAGCCAGAAAGAACTGGGTCGAAATGCTAGTTCCACCACTCATTAGCTATATGACTTTGAGCAAATTATTTAACCTCTCTAATTCTCCACCTCCCTTTATAATATGGGCAGTGAAAATATTTATTTTAAGGTCTTGTATGAAGATTAAATAAGAAAACAGGTGGAAATTGTTAGCACCAGATATGGAACCCTATATATGCTCAGTAACTATTCATTTCCTTCATCCTTTGGTCCAACCATCTAGGAAAAAAAAAAAAAAAAAAACAGCAGAGCTACTGCTCACAAAATATTTTTATTTTAAAAGTTCTTTAAGTAATAAAAGTTGCCCCTCTCCAAGCTTCCTTGCCTCTCTGCAAAGATCCCTATCAACCAGCAGGCACAATCTGGAGTCTACCAGGACTAACTGCATTCTTCTCTTTATTCCGTGAATGTCAGCCTTGACCAACAGTCCCGGACACCCAGGTTACCCTTTACCACTCACGTCTAATCCCTGAGAGGCCCTGGACTTTGCCTATTCTGTCACCATCTCCCAGAAACCCTCCAACTGTGTTCTCTAGAATTCAGTGTATAGTGACCAAAATCTCCTCCTCAATCCTTCCATAAAATATCTCTTCACTTTCTTGCTCTAACCAATACCTGGCTGTCCCTTGAGGACAATGCTTCCACTGTAGACCCCTCTTACGTGTAGGGATGAGCTTTCCTCTTGCAGTCCTAGGTTGCACCAGGCCTATAAGCAGGTTGGGTAGATCCCATATTCTCCTTCCTAACCCCCACCCATTCAAATATTCCCATCATCTGACTATACCACTCAGCATACCTCTTGTTTCTGTGATCTAATAACCCTGGATTCCCCTCTCACCCCGTATTTTAGCTCTTGGCTCGATGACACTCTCTCAACTTCTATCTTAGTTCTCAATATTTTCAACATACTTATCCTTCAATATACTGATCCTTCAAACACTAAGGCCTCCAATTACATTAACTCATCTCCTCCGATGGCCTTTCTTTCATCCTTCCTCAGCCACTCACTCCCATGGTCACACTCTAGACTTTACTTGCCATTACCAAAAACTCCTTTTTCTCAATTTCATGCATCTCACTTTATGGCCACTATATTCTAGTCTTCCTGTTCAGTCCCTCATAAACACATCCCAATTGATCAACAACCTTCAACCATGCTGAAACTCACAATTCATTAAGCATGTCACCTTCTCACCATCCCTCATTGCGTCCTACCCAATGTCCTCTCTTTGCTCCTTGCCCAGACTAAATCTATAGTCTATCATCATAATTACTCCCTTGCACGCCCCTGCACCTACCTCCCTGGAACCTCACCTACTCTGGATTATTCAGTGGCCATGACCTCAACCCTAGCTACATCCAACCCTTACTACCTGGGCCTGAACGACTGGCCTTATCTGAAAAACATACAGCCACACTAACTGGTCTCACTTTAAATTTCATGACCACTAATCCTCAGGTAAGCACTCAAGTGGGTCCTGCCCAGCCATCATGCTGTTCCTCACACATTCACCCTCCCACTTCTAGATAACTATGTAGTATACGAATCTCTCTCCACAAACTGCCAATACCTCAACCTGCACCTCCATCTCATCTATTTCCTGGAAAAAAATCAAAGAAACCAAAAGACAACCTGTCCCCAAATCTCACCACTACATCTACACTCTCTCTCTACTCTAGTCTCTATCTTCTCTTCTAGCTCAGCATTTCTCAAAAATTTTAGGTCTCAGGACCTCTTAACACAGTTATAAATTGTTGAGGTCCCCACAGAGCTTTTATTTATGTGGATTATAGCTATCATATTTACCATACTAGAAATTAAAATTGGGAAATTTAGAAAATATTTATTTCATTAAAAAGTAACTCTATTACATGGTAATATAAATATATTTGTATGAAAAAGAACTATACCTTTTTTTTTTTAATTGTAGAGACAGGGTCTCGCTATGTTAGCCAGGCTGGTCTCAAACTCCTGGCCTCAAGCGATCCTCCCGCCTCAGCCTCCCAAAGTGCTGGGATTACAGGCATGAGCCAGCACACCCAGCCAAAGAACTATATTTTCTAAAACAGAAAATTTAGTGAGAAAAGCAGTTTTATATCTTTACAAATCTCTTAAATGTCTGACTTTAATGGAAAACAGCTGCATTCAATCTGCTGTAATATGTTGTTTTGGTTGAAGAATATGAAAGGATTTCAGCCTCACACAGATTCATAGTTAGAAAAGAAAGAAGTATTTTAATGGCCTTTTTAGATAACTGGGGATGTTCTTCTTTGATACAACACCAAATCCCAACAAGTAAAGTTTCTTAAAGACTAGTGGCAATGTGCAATCTGAAACTGTATCAGTGAACTTTTCTCCTCTCTGTTACCTTAAAATTCATGGGTCTATGAGCACTTTTCAAACTATCTGTTACCCATGCATAATTTTGTAACACCATGCACACCGGTCAACTGGGAAAATACTGTTTCTCTATATTATGCAGATCATCCAAATGTTAGGAAACTTCATTAAACTATATTTAAAAGCCACATTCATTAACATCACCACCAATGACATCAGAAAGTCTTTAAGTATTAGGAAGATGAAACATGAAAATTTTAAATCTTTCAAAAAAGTCATTCTTTCAAATAAGAATGGTATCCCGTATCCTCTAGTAGAAGACTAGCTCAACTAGCAATTCAAAACAACTGCTCAAGTACTTTTCCTCAGACAACCACCATACTACATTAAAGAGTTCTTTATGCATACTTGCCATTTAATTACTCAGAATTTTAAAATGTAATCTTGTGTAATCAAGAGCAAGATTTAATAAAATCAATGATTTTGACTGCTTCTTCAAGGACATTCTGAAGCAGAATCAGTATGACGAAGATGATGAATGTGTAATGAAGAAAATAATGATTGCTTACTCTGTTTGGATTGGTGTCTGTCTTATTCTGTTCAGGTTATTATAACAAAATATCCTAGTACTTGGTAATTTATAAGTAACAGAATTTACTGCTCACAGTTCTAGGAGTTGGGAAGTCCAAGATCAAGGCAGCAGCAGGTCTGGTGTCTGGTAAAAGCTTTCTCCTTCATAGATGGTGCCTTCTTGCTCCATCCTCACATGGCAGAAGGGGCAAACAGATTCCCTCAAGCCTCCTTCACAAAGGTACTAATCCTATCTGTGAGAGCAGAGCCCTCATGACCTAATCACCTCCCCAAAGTTCTACCTCTTCACACTATCACCATGCAGGTTAGGTTTCAACATGAATTTTGGAGGGACATCAATGTTCAGACAAAACCTTATTTGCTGTTAAGACACCAGAAGTTTTACGCACTATTGCTTTTAGAAACCTCAGCTCAAATATCAACATGGTGAAAAAGGTAGATCATGCTTTTACTACTGTGCAAATAGTTTTGACCTCCTGGACTTCTGAAAAGTTCTCAGGGACTTCCAGGAGTCCACTGGCTACACTTTGAGGTCAGGTGTTCTGGATGAACTCTCCATGCTCTTACAAGAGGCCAACCTCCTAGACAATGCTCCAGAATGTCTTTCCTTTCTCTCCTACATTGTCAATCTTATCTACTCTCAAGTGAGTCTTTCCCATTGGCATTCACCTAGAAAAGACCCTCCTTCAACCTCCCTTTTCCCTCCAGTTATGGCCTTATTTCTCACCTTTCCTTTTCAATAAAACTCTCCAAAAGAAGGCTTGGATTGGTAAGCAAGAGGAGCTGGGTAAGAGGAGGAGGAGCGCTATCTGTACATATGAATGAGAAGCAAAATCAGCACCCAATCAGCAATCAACCCTTTCTGAAATTAAAAAGAAAAAGAAAACCCAGGCACCTGACATTCCTAGAGATTTTCTAATACATCAGCAACATAATACAAACCTTTTTAAAAATTCTTTTTAATTTACTGCTTGTAGACAGTGTCTAGCCACCACATTGCACAACCCCTCCCCTGCCCCATGATTTCAGACATCAAATATTAACACAAAGTGAGTAATGCAAAAAGAAAGGGGGTTAATCAGACACCTTGAGAGAAAGGAAAAAATAACACTGATTCAATGAGAGCTGTTAATGAGGCTTTTTGTTTTGGTAGATTAATTTGGGAGTCTGATGACTAAGAAGAAAATCTAAGCTTCTCAGGTGACTGCTATTGATTATTATCAAGGTTTCTTTTTAATCGAAGAGATGCTTTCGCCAAATTCTATAGTTTATGAATTTTAGATGTTTATCTGAAATCTATGTCTACCCTAATAGTATAGAAAACTTTCCTCATTAGCAAATTGAAAGACCTCCCCTTATTGATTCTGTATTATAACTTGACAGATGATGAGCACTTCAGGCTGTGAACTGCTGATGTTTAAATATATTACCCTAATATTCTTTAAGTATTGCCAATTGTAAACCTCATTAACTCCCAGCATGTGGCCAAGGCCTGGATTTCATCACGACAGCCTCACAAAATGAAAACAGGTATATAAAAATGATTTTATCATCAACATTATTATATCCTCCTTCACCTTGTGAAATCTTTAAAAGGCCATATATTCTTTCCTCAGAAAAAGAATAGCAAACATAGGAAAGGCAGAGAACATGCTTTATTTATATAGGCCACATATTTCTAAACTTTAGATTTCTTTTTCATCTTTTCTTCTTTGATGCCTTTATTCTTCATGCATCAAAACAGGAACTGTCCCAGGACTCAATCTCTTTACTCTGAACAGAAAGGAATTATCTGAGGCCGGGCATAGTGGCTCACGTCTGTAATTCCAGCACTTTGGGAGGGCTGAGGCAGGTGGATCACTTGAGGTCAGGAATTCCAGACAAGCCTGACCAACATGGGGAGACCCCGTCTTTACTAAAAATACAAAAATTAGCCGGGTGTGGTGGTGCATGCCTATAATCGCAGCTACTGGGGAGGCTGAAGCAGGAGAATTGCTTGAGCCCAGTAAGGGAGGTTGCAGTGAGCTGAGATCATCCCACTGTGCTCCAGCCTGAGACTCTGTCTCAAAAAAAAAAAAAAAAATTAAGGGTTTGATTATATTGCTGTCATTTTGGTACAACAAAGTGGCAGGGGGCTGACAAGGCGGTATGGTGAATCTGTCAGCTTCATCACTAGCAAACTGAGATATCTAACATTCCCTTTTCCAAAAGAAGTGCCAACTTCTGTTTGCACATGGAGTGCAAAGAGGTTCCACACTGGAGATGAAAGACATATGTGTGGTAAATTCCTTTGTGACCCTAGCAAGCCAACTGGATCCCTGAGCCACCCGGTGCCCACCTCACAGACAGTGCTTGGTACCCGTAACCCTCAGTAAGTCAGGCACTCAACACCTCCAGCTTATTCTAGTCCCATGTGGTCTTCCCAGGTGAGAAGGTCAGTCACAAGTGAAGACAGTTCTTTAGCCTTGACTCCCTTTAACGAGATAACAGTCAGTAACAACAACAAATAGAACGTGTGCAAAGATCAAAGGAAGAATTTTCACCTTGCTCTTAACAGGTAAGTTGTATGAACAATGTATAAAAATTATACTTAGAAGATATACAAAGCTTTATTCTCATTTTGAATGAAAAAATAATAATCACAACCAAATCTAAAAGGTACAGTTCAGTTACGTGGTACAGTAAGGTCTAGGCCCTGAGAAGTCCTTAGAGTCCCACCTCCTCCTCAAATGCTGGGACAAGCCCTCTTCATTCATTAAGGCCCACCAAAAACAAAAGGCTTCCAGCCCTAGACACTCAAAGTCTCCTCTCATCTCCCTTACGGAACTTCATAAATTGATTAAATCCATCATTAAGTAGATTAAAACAGTGGAATGCAGGGAGGTCTAAACACAACAAAGAGTATTAACAGCAAGTATGCTGTTACACAGGCAAATCGTGCCAATCCCCTCATTCAAATTAGCCTTTGATGGCTCTCCAGCACTCTCAAGATAAAGAACCCCAATCCTTAATATGAGGTACAAGTCCCTACACAGTCTGGGCACAGCCCACCTCTCCCACCACCATGCCCTGCACTTCCATGCTCCAGGCAAGCCAGCCTCTGCATTTCAAAACACAGGACCTTTACAACTGCTGTTCCCTCTGCCTGCAACTCTCTGTCCTCTGTACTCCCACCTCCAACTCCTGCAACTCAGATGTCACTCATGGAAAGTCTTCCCAATTTCCCAGTCCAAATGAAGCCCTTATTTGGTGTTACTCACACCATCTCTCTCTTTCATAGCAGTATCACTACATCAATTCACATTTATTTCAGGCTCCCTGATGAATACCTGTCTGCTCCATTAAATTAGAAGCTCCAAGAGGGCAACAAGCACTGTGTTTTTTTTTCCATTCACCATGTTATCCTCAATATACACAACTGTGCCAAGCACAGAGATGAGGTTCCCAAAGAGCTGCTGAATAACTGGAGAGTGTTCAGAGAGAAGCTCCAACATGGAAGGCTGACCAATGTACCCAAGGCACTCATGCATCATTCCACTAGAAACAAGAGTGCTACAGAAAACAGGATCCCTCTCTCAGCAAGCTGGAGGTGTTAAGGCCGTAAGTGCACAGGCATTTAAATTCCCTGCCCAGAGTTCCATCCCAGCCCACACATAGGTGAAGTCTTTAGGAAGCAGCCATGCCCTCACAGAGACAGTTGACAACAGGGGTCACTGACTGGAAAATGTCTGGATCAAGCCAAAACTACCACTAGAAAAAGGTTTTTTTCCGGATCAGGCTGGCCCTTGGCAAAGAAAATTCTTCACAACTATAAGCTTTCTAACGTCCCGGAAAAAACAGCTACATGAGTGTATTCATTTCCTGGGGCTGCTGTGACAAATTACAACAGGAAAATAAAACTGGTACACTGAAGAGGCATCTGCACTTACAGGTTCACTGCAGCATTATTCACCATAGCCAAGATATGCAATCAACTCAAGTGCCCATTACAGATGAACGGATGAAGAAAATGTGATACATGCACACAATGGAATACTATTAAGCCTTTAAAAAGGCAATCCTCTCACTTGTGACAATATGGATGAACCTGAAGGACAATATGTTAAGTGAAATAAGCCAGGCACAGAAAGACAAATACTACATGATCTCACTTACACATGGAATCTAAAAAAGTCAAACTCATAGAAACAGAGAGCAGACTGGTGGTTGCCAGGGCCTCCCTTGGGGGAAGGGGACAGTATGGGGAAAGGCCCTGGAGTGATGTTGGTCCAACAATATAAAATTTTAGTTAGAGGAGTAAGCTCAAGAGACCTATTGTACAACATATTGACTATACTTAATAATCATATATTGTATACTTGAAAATTGCTAAGAGTAGATTTTAAGTGTTCTCAATACAAAAAGAAATAAGTATATCAGGTAATGGACATGCTAATTAGCTTGCTTTAGCCATTCTACAATGTATACATATTTCAAAACATCATGTTGCATATCATAAATATATTCAACTTTTGTCAATTAGAAAATATAAATAGCTGGGGCTGAGTGCGGTGGCTCACACCTATAATCCCAGCACTTTGGGAGGCCAAGGCAGGTGGGCTGCTTGAGATCAGAAGTTCGAGACCAGCCTGGCCAACATGGTAAAACACTGTCTCTACTAAAAATACAAAAATTAGTAGGGCACGGTGGCGGACCCCTGTAATCCCAGCTACTCAGGAGGCTGAGGCAGGAGAATCACTTGAACTAGGAGGCAGAGGTTGCAATGATCTGAGATCGTGCCACTGCACCCCAGCCTGGGCAACAGAGCAAGACTCCATCTCCAAAAAAAAAAAAAAGAGAAATATAAATACCTGATTTCAGTGGCACATGCCTGTAATCCCTGCTACTCCAGAAGCTAAAGCAGGAGGATAGCCTGAGCCTAGGAATTTGAGATCAGCCTGGGCAACAGAGCAAGACCCTTTGTCTAAAAATAAAATAAAATATAAGTATAAATAAATAAACAAAACAAATTCCCATAATAACACAACAAAATTTATGCTATCACAGTTCTAGGGATGAGAAGCCCTAAATCAAGAGTTCAGTACGGCCACAGACTCTCCAAAGGCTCTTGCGGAAAATCCCCTCTTGCCTCTTCCAGCATCTGGTGACTCCAGGCATTCCTCGGTTTATGGCTGCAACGCTCCAACCTCTACTTCTGTGGTCACCCCGTCTCTTCCTCTTCCCTGTTTCTGTGTCAACTCTCCCTTTGCCTCTATCTTCTAATGACATTTGTGATGGAATTTAGAGCCCACCTAAACAATCCAGAGTAATATCTTCATCTCAAAATTCTTGATTTAATGACATCTGCAAAGACCCTTTTTCCAAATAAGGTAACATTTACAAATTCCAGGGATTAGGAATAGATCTCTTTGGGTGGCCATTATTCAGCCTGTTAAGGTGAGTAACAGAATTCAAAATACAGCTTCTATTCCCGGGCTTTCGTAAAAATGCTTCTTAGTACACTTAACTAAATTTAGTCAACAAATTGATATAAAACCCTCATTTGATTATTACACATTATATACATGTACTGAACTAACACTCTGTATCTAATATGTACAATTACTACACGCCAACTAGAAATGAAAGGAAAAAAATAACTGAGATGTTCACAGTTTTTGCAACTAAAAGGTTTGTTATAGGGCAAAGGATTAAGGCCATCTAACATTTTCTGTGTCACAGTAAAACACTGAGATTTAAGATAATACAAAATCTAAAAGAAAATGTCAAAAGAGGACTGTGAGATTATGAGAAGAGGCAGCTCAGAACACTGAAAAGGCCAAGGAATTTAAAACCTGACAGGCCTGAGCACCTTTTAGCTACAAACTGCTTAAATACCAAGAGCTTCAGTTATCTCATCGATAAAACCAAGAAAACAAAGTCGGCCTTTCAAATCTGTCACAAGCTTTTGAGAAAATACACACATTATGTTATACTATATATGTAAAATATATATTACACATTGTTATCTGATAAATGTAAGGCTGTATTTTTGGATATTATATGTTTAAAAAAAGAAAAAGCATGTCTATTAATGGGAAGGGGGATAAAATAGAACACAAAGCACATCAGAAGGTATTCCAATTTATTTTATTATTTTATTTTATTTATTTTATTTTATTTTATTTTTGAGACAGAGTCTTGCTCTGTCACCCAAGCTGGAGTGCAATGGTGTGATCTTGGCTCACTGCAGCCTCCAGCTCCTGGGTTCAAGCGATTCTCTTGCCTCAGCCTCCCGAGTAGCTAGGATTACAGGTTACGGCCACCATGCCTGGCTAATTTTTTTGTATTTTTAGTAGAGATGGGGTTTCACCATGTTGGCCAGGCTGGTCTCGAACTCCTGATCTCAGGTGATCCGCCTGCCTCGGCATCCCAAAGTGCTGGGATTACAGGCGTAAGCCACCACGCTCAGCCTATTTATTCATTTATTTTTTAAACATTTTTGCTCTTTCTTATACCTTCAGAGGTCTTCCAATTCTATCAAATAAAGGCCCATAAACATATTAATGTATGTAGCAACCAAAATTTTCGCAGAGAGAGACACAAAATTTAAAAAACAAAGAAAAATCCTGTAATGTTAAATTTAAAAGGAGATGTTATTATGAACTTTCAATTTTTTAAAGTTTATATATTTCCCAGCTCTTTTCACTGAAAAGTCAGAGAAGCAGTAACACCCTGGTAACAATAAGCCAGTGCCCAGAGCTTTGTTCCTAAGCACCATTCCTAAATAAAAGGAATCAGAGCTTCTTGTTGGGGGGAAAAGTGATTTCCAGGTCAAAGGCAGGAACGGTCCAAGGTGAGCCTGGAACAACTAATTTGCCAAAAGCAAGGAGCACCTGAAAGCTGAGAATGAGAAGCCAGCTTGAGGCCCAGCCCTCCCACTGACCAGTTATGAGACGCTTTGCCTGTAAGGGCATACTGGTAATGGAGTATAATACAGAATTAAAGTATGCAAATCCAGTAATTTATGTTGATAAAAAAGATTAAAAGACAAAGAAAAGGGGGAAGAGGAAAGAAAGTTTCTGTTTACCAAGGAATGTTGGACAATATATACAGGAGAAATTATAGGATTAGAAAAATCGCCACCTTTTAAACATCAATAGAATAACCGGTTCAGCAAAGAATCATCATGGATGCTAAAACCATCAGGTGAAAGGTTGCTGGAGAAAATATCCATGTGATCTTGACATATCATCCCACAAATTATCTACTCATATAACAACAAAATGTAGCCTTTACAATGGAAATATCAGGTGGATGCCAGCTTCACCAACTTATCAAACAGCATCACCAACACCTGGACACGATCCCTCCTGAGGAGATACAATGGGTAGTATAGAATAGCTCCTAACCTATACCCCAGAATTTATCCTGAATTGAATCAGACAATGAGGAAACAATCAGACAAGTCCAGAATGCAGGACCTTCAACCAAATAACTCGCCTGGATTTCAAAAGTCAATATCACGAAAAACAATATAATATTTCTGTTCTGTTTTAGAGTAAAAGAGACATAACTAACTGCAGTATAATCTTCAATCAAAAAACAAAAAAAGAAAGAAACAAGAATAGGCAAAGAGCCATTTGAGGTTGGGAAGGGAGGTGAACACACCAGATCTGCAAATATACTTGAAAGTTCTAGTATATTTAAATATGGAATAGACATTAGCTGATACTTGACATGATCATTAATTCTCCTAAGTGCAATAATAGCATGGGGGGTTATGTAGGAGAATGTTCTTAGTCTCAGAAGATAAATGCTGAAATATTGTGATGTGTACAATTTACACTTAAGTGTTCCAACCATAAAAAGAAATTATGTGTGTACGTGTTTGTGTGTAGAAAATGTGTGTGTACAAAGACAGCACAAAGATGGTAAAAATTTTAATAAAAAGTCAATCTAGGTGAAGGGTATAGATTGTGTGCTCACCATATTCTTCTCTCAACTTTTTTGTGACTCAGATTTTTTTTTCTGTAGTTTAAAATTTTTCCAAATTACAAAAAACTGATCTCAAATATTAAGGCAGATAATCCATGTTGCATGTGAACTTGGTCACACTTCCTCTGAAACATGAGCCATTCTAGGAGGTGAAAAAACAACTAGATTTTCCACAGAAAAATGCTTGCTGGCATAAGTCTGTGTTTTGCATAGTTTCAGCTTAAATGAACTAGTGTGAAATATAGCCCAGCCTTTTCCTGCACCACCCTGCTCATACATTACATTTTCCTACCAAGCAAAGAATCCCCCTTGGGGTTAGGGTAGAAAACAAAGGTAAGAAGGTTAAAAAGGAAACCTTCTGCCGCTGGAACAGAGAGAGAAGGCATAATCCAACAATCCTCCAGAATACTGCAACAAGTAGATCACCTAATTCCCTGCCTGCTCCCTCCCAGTCATCAAGGCCTTCATTTTACAGGAGGTTCTTTCCATTAAAAAAAAAAAAATGGTATCTCATTATGGTTATGATTTGCATTTCTCTGATGGCCAGTGATGATGAGTATTTTTTCATGTGTCTTTTGGCTACATAAATGTCTTCTTTTGAGAAGTGTCTGTTCATATCCTTCGCCCACTTGTTGATGGCGCTGTTTGTTTTTTTCTTGTAGATTTGTTTGAGTTCATTGTAGATTCTGGATATTAGCCCTTTGTCAGATGAGTAGATTGAAAAAATTTTCTCCCATTCTGTAGGTTGCCTGTTCACTCTGATGGTAGTTTCTTTTGCTGTGCAGAGGCTCTTTAGTTTGATTAGATCCCATTTGTCAATTTTGGCTTTTGTTGCCATTGCTTTTGGTGTTTTAGACATGAAGTCCTTGCACATGCCTATGTCCTGAATGGTATTGCCTAGGTTTTCTTCTAGGGTTTTTATGGTTTTAGGTCTAACATTTAAGTCTTTAATCCATCTTGAATTAATTTTTGTATAAGGTGTAAGGAAGGGATCCAGTTTCAGCTTTCTACATATGGCTAGCCAGTTTTCCCAGCACCATTTACTAAATAGGGAATCCTTTCGCCATTTCTTGTTTTTGTCAGGTTTGTCAAAGATCAGATGGTTGTAGATATGCAGCATTATTTCTGGGGGCTCTGTTCTGTTCCATTGGTCTATATCTCTGTTTTGGTACCAGTACCATGCTGTTTTGGTTACTGTAGCCTTGTAGTATAGTTTGAAGTCAGGTAGCATGATGCCTCCAGCTTTGTTCTTTTGGTTTAGGATTGACTTGGCAATGTGGGCTCTTTTTCGATTCCATATGAACTTTAAAGTAGTTTTTTCCAATTCTGTGAAGAAAGTCATTGGTAGCTTGATGGGGATGGCATTGAATCTATATATTACCTTGTATGGCCATTTTCACGACATTGATTCTTCCTACCCATGAGCATGGAATGTTCTTCCATTTGTTTGTATCCTCTTTTATTTCATTGAGCAGTGGTTTGTAGTTCAGTTAGAATGGCGATCATTAAAAAGTCAGGAAACAACAGGTGCTGGAGAGGATGTGGAGAAATAGGAACACTTTTACACTGTTGGTGAGACTGTAAACTAGTTCAACCATTGTGGAAGTCAGTGTGGCAATTCCTCAGGGATCTTGAACTAGAAATACCATTTGACCCAGCAATCCCATTACTGGGTATATACCCAAAGGATTATAAATCATGCTGCTATAAAGACACATGCACACGTATGTTTATTGTGGCACTATTCACAATAGCAAAGACTTGGAATCAACCCAAATGTCCATCAATGATAGACTGGATTAAGAAAATGTGGCACATATACACCATGGAATACTATGCAGCCATAAAAAATGATGAATTCATGTCCTTTGCAGGGACATGGATGAAGCTGGAAACCATCATTCTCAGCAAACTATCACAAGGACAAAAAAACCAAACACTGCATGTTCTCACTCATAGATGGGAATTGAACAATGAGAACACATGGACACAGGAAGGGGAACATCACACACTGGGGCTTGTTGTGGGGTCGGGGGAGTGGGGAGGGATAGCATTAGGAGATATACCTAATGTTAAACGACGAGTTGACGGGTGCAGCACACCAACATGGCACATGTATACATACGTAACTAACCCGCACATTGTGCACATGTACCCTAAAACTTAAAGTATAATAAAAAAATTGGGTGACAAGTGCATAAATAAGAAAAGGAAAGTGCTAGTGAAAACTGAGAGTATTCGAAGTACATAAAGACATTATACATGGGTTATATCTCAAACTGCTGCATGTGGGAAAATCAGACACATGAAGATTCCAATAAATAGAGAAAATTCAGAGCTAGAGAACTCCACCTCAGAGTGATAGGTAACTGCAATCTGTCAAAAGGGTGCTGGCAAGCAGCAGGGACAGAAGCAAAGTCTCCTACAGTTTACCTAGAGAAGGAAGAAGGCAAGGTCCTTTACAGTTTACCTAGAGAAGGTTAGTTCTTGTACATTATACTTTGGCTATTAGCAGACATTGGTGTTTGATTAGCAAGAGTTCAGAGTCCAAAATTCTTCGTGTAATGGTAAAAGCCATTGCAATCTTATACAGCTTAAGGAAAACCCATTTTTAAAATGTAAGCAGAAGGCCAGATAAAGTGGCTTACACCTGTAATCCCAACACTTTGGGAGGTAGAGGCAAGCGGATGGCTTGAGCCCAGGAGTTTGAGACCAGCCTGGGCAATACGGCAAAATCCCGTCTCTACAAAAAAATACAAAAATTAGCTGGGCATGGTGGCGCACGGCTTTGATACCAGCTACTCAGGAGGCTGAGGTGAGAGGATAGCTTGTACCTGGGAGACAGAAGTTGCACTGAGCCAAGATCATGCCACTGTACTCCAGCCCGAGCAACAGAGTGAGAACCTGCCTCAAAAGAAGGAGGGAAAAAAGTTCCAACAAAATGGAAGCAGAGAAGACTGGTAGGGAAAAAAAGAATCCAAAGGCATTCTGCAACGTGTCCTATTTGATTCTATATGGTACAGTTTCTTTCCTCTAGCTTTTGCAGAGTGCCTTTCTTGGGGCTTTGGAATCACCTGTGAATTTTTAAAGGCGATTTGCTCAGAAAGAAAGATTATAGAAAAGTAACGTTCATAGAGCTATGTTGTACATTTACTCACAATTTTACAGCTGCCTTGAAAAATACCAAAGGCATATAAATACTCTCATACATCTGCACATCACCACCTTGTTGACAATAATAGTTCTCTGATACGATAAAGCATTCTTTAAAAGAGTCAAATATATACATATTGAATCCCCAACTTGAAACAATGATTGAAGGAACTACATTATTACTCAAATAATGTAATAATAATAGTAGTAAGTACAGAAAATGGTCCTAAGAGATGGGAAGGTATACATTTAATGACTTCCTGGTCATTAGAGCAAAAGAAAGCTGTTTCAAACAAAAAGAATTAAATAAAATAATTAAAAATAAACATACCCATCTTTGGTCTGATCCACCACTCCACTTAAAAGTTCCACAGTCTTTGGATTAGGCTGGCTTTCTCCAAAAATGTTCAAGTATCGAGTGACAAAGTCATTGGGGGACATGAAAAATTCACCGTTTTTCTCAATGCTTGCATACTGTTTAAAAAAAAGAAAAACAGTATTTTATATATTTGATTTTCAACAGTATATAATCATGAGAGTGATATGTGAAAAAGTTGAAAATATCCAAACGATAAAATATCAGATATGATCATGTACGCTTCATAATGACCATTATCTCCCAACAGTTCAAAGAAAAAACAAGTCAAGTTTTATGTTTATAAACTTAACTGGGAGCAATGTTTTCCCACAGGGACACTTGGCAATATCTGATGGCAATTAAGATTGTCATAACATGTGAGGAAGGGTGCTACTGGCTCCAGCAGGTAGAGGCCAGGGATGTTGCTAGACATCCAACAATACACAGGATGACTCCCTGCAACAGACAGTTCTCCAGCCCAAAGTGTGGGCAGTGTCCAGGTTCAGAAACCCTGGTTTATAGAAATTTGGAAAGACAAACTATGTCTTGTTTTTTAGCAAAGGCACATAGCTTTTTAAAAAAAAAAAAAAAGTGGAATTACGAAGTCATGGAGGCAAACAACCTAATTCCTTTGCCCCATTCCTGCTTTAAGAGCATCAATGATACAAGAAAGGATGGCAAACAAGCTAAGCTGGACAGCAAACTACTAAGTGCGTGTCATCTTGGGCAATCTTATGGAGGGAGGCAGTAAATGCTGCTCTAGTTACTGTCCTCTCCATTCTAAGGCATTACCATGCAGAAATGCTCAGTAAGAATTAGGTGGCAAACAACGCTTCCTCACAGTGTTCTCCTAGGTCTGGCCTTTAATGTGATACACTCCAGCCTGGATAAGAGAGAGCCCATTAATTTCTGTTGCATGGAGCCCTAAGGGCAGAAATGCTGAGAAACGACATGGGATCATGTGGTGTCCTTATGAAGCAGGAGACGGCCTCTTGATCCTGGGGACAAAGCAGTGGTTTGGGGACTGAGGAGGCAAGGATAGTGCATCTACAAGAACAAGCCTAGCTGGGTGATAAGAACCACACTGGTAGCCATAGTGATGGAGGGTGCGCAGTGAAGTGCCAGGGCAGTGTCTCCCCTCTCTCTCTAATCTGAGTTAAACCTGATTAAAACTGTTTTTAAAAGTCACTTGTTATTTCTACATTTTAATTCCAATGCAGACTAAGGCTTTGCTCAGATACTCAGTAGTAATATGCTTTGGCATCCCACGGGTCTGGACTGTGCCTCTTACCACTTGAATGGCCTCAGGTAAGTAACTAAAGCTTTTGGTACCTCTGGTTCCTCATTTGCAAAATGAATAGAATAACATTACAGCTTCATAAGACTGATGCTAGAAATATTTAAATGAGATACTCATGTCATATACTTAGCACAACGCCCTATACACAATAAGTACTTTATATTAAATAAATGTTCTATAGTATTGTCTTACAGTTAACATTTTTTTTAGCACACTACAAGGGAAAGGCTCAAAGATGCCCCAGTGATCCTACTATTCTTCAGTTAGCATTTAATTCGGCTTTTTGGACATGTAAAGAATTATATTTTGATTTTCCTAACTGAGCCAAAACAAGATGAAAATATAAAGGAAATATCACTGCTAATTACAGCAATCTTATGACTTAGTAATTATACCTAAGTTTGCCCCTGATAGTGAATAATTTATTTTACTATACAATTTAACTTTTCTCCTACCAGTAGACATTTCCAGTTTTTTGTATTTTTAAATAAAGCTAAGGTAGTAAGCTTTGAATATAACATTTGTCCAAATTCCTGGCAATTTTCAAAGGCTAGGCTCCCAGAAGAGAAATTGTTGAGTCAAAGGAGAGGAACTTCTGGGCTCTTGGTACTTATTATCACACTGCTCTCCGGAAAAGATTGTACCAATTTACACTCCCACCAACAGTGTGTGAACATGCCCTTTACTCACTTTGGTCTATTATATTTGTTGCAAATATTTTTCCAGTTTGATATTTTTATATAATTGAGTGTATAGAATTTTTTTCTCCTTTGAAATTTCTTCCATTACTTTTCTAAGCTTAGACACTAGCTGTATTAGTCTGTTCTTACACTGCTAATAAAGACATACCTGCGACTGGGTAATTTATAAATAAAAAGAGGTTTAATGGACTCACAGTTCCACATGGCTGGGAGGCCTCACAATCATGGTGGAAGGCGAATGAGGAGCAAAGTCACATCTTAACATGGCGGTAGGCAAGAGAGCTTGTGCAGGGGAACTCCCATTTATAAAACCATCAGATCTCATGAGACTTATTCACTACTACGAGAACAGTATGAGGGAAACCACCCCCATGACTCAATGATCTCCACCTGGCTCCACCCTTTAAATGTGGGGATTATTACAATTTAAGGTGAAATTTGGGTGGGGACACAGCCAAGCCATATCACCAGTCTTTCTTCATTTCAAGACTAAATATCAGAGAGTTTATCTGAGTTTTTTTAAAGTAGGTTTATCTTTTACCTTTAAGTTTTAGTACATTAGTACTTTATCTTTGTGTGTGATCTAAGGTAAGAATCCCCCAACTTTAATTTTTCCACTTAATCTCTTGGTTGTCCCACGAACACAAAGCAAATCATTCTCTCTTCCAGGTCTTTAGGATGCCATGTTTATCACATACTTAATTATCATATGGTCACCAGGGAAAGGCGTGACAAAATGGCTCCATCTGCAGTACCAGTTCTGATGAACTGGCAAAGGCTTCCTAGGGCCAACATGTATTCTGAGGCTGACCTACGCTCCATGGGAGAATGCTGGGATCGAATGACAGCTCTTGTCATCACTGCAGTCAGAGATGTTTCAGGACCATCCTTTTCAATTGTCTCGTCTACTCTTGCAAGATTACATGCTATAACTAGAGGGAAAGTTCTGTTAGGACAGAATTTTTTTTCTCTCATTTTTACTGCTGTGTCCTCAAATTCCCAGACTAGTACCTGGTAGATAGTGAAACATGTTCAAATAAATATTTTTTTAAAAGAATGAAAGGTTTAAAAAAGACATTGAATTATTTTACACTTGGAAATTTTTTTGGCCATGATCACTCCTTGATTTTCCACAAATGACCTTTAGAATCATTATCAAGTTGCTGCTCCCTAAAAAAATTCCACTGAAATGCAAAATAAAACAATGCAAGGCAGGGCACACTGACTCATGCCTGTCATCCCAGCACTTTGGGAAGCCAAGGTGGGCAGATCGCTTGAGCCCAGGAGTTCAAGACCAGCCTGGGCAAGATGGCGGAACTCCATCTCTACAAAAAATAAAAAATTAACCAGGTAGGGTAACGTGCACCTGTAGTCCCAGCTACTTGGGAGACTGAGGCAGGAGAATCGCTTGAGCACAAAAGATTGAGGCTGCAGTGAGCCATGTTTGCATCACTATACTCCAGCCTGGGCAACAAAGTGAGACCCTGTCTCAAAACATAAAACAAAAAGCCTACAATGCAATACCATGCCATACCCCCAAGATAACGAAAAAGAATAATAAGTGATGGCAAAAATGTGGAGCAAATGTTACTCTCACACACTGATGGTATGAGAATAAAGGAGTAAACCATTTTAGAAAAATGCTGGGCAGTATCTGCTATAGCTGAACATACAACCACAAGCCCACCAATTTCAATCAGAAGTATATCACCAACAGAAGTGTGCATATACACAAAAACTATGTGAAAATGCCCACAGCGGCATTATTTGTAGTATCCAAAAAACTAAAAATAACACAAATGTCAACCAATAGTAGGATACATTAATGGCTTGTGGTGAATTCACACAATGGAATACAACACAGCAATGAGAAAAAACTAACTCCAGCTGGGCACGGCATCTCACATCTGTAATCCCAGCACTTTGGGAAGCCAAGGCAGGTGGATCACCTAAGGTCAGGCGCTTGAGACCAGCCTGGCCAACATGGTGAAACCCCGTCTGTACTAAAAATACAAAAATTACCCAGGCATGGTGGCACAGGCCTGTAATCCCAGCTACTCAAGAGGCTGAGGCAGGAGAATCGCTTGAACCCGGGAGGCAGAAGTTGCAGTGAGCTGAGACCGCCCCATTGCACTCCAGCCTGGGCAACAAGTGCAAAACTCCATCTCAAAAAAAAAAAAAAAAAAGAATAAACTAACTCCAACTACATATGACAACAGACGAATCCTAAGGGTAAAAGAAAAGAAACATAAGAAAACCTAGCGTATAATTCCATTCACGCAAAGTGAAATAAACAGGCAAAACTTACATACAGTTAGTTTTAACATACAGTGACCAGAATTCAGACAACTGGTTACCCTTGGTGGGTGCTGATCAGAAGGGGCATCAGAGGGCCTCTGGGATGCTCGTTACATGGGCCTACTCACTTTCTGAGTATTCATGGCTGTACATTTGTGATGTATGCATTCAATTTATATTTCAACAGTTTACATTTTAGAAGTCTTTGAGAGATATTATCAGCTTCATTTTTTTAGATGCAATAAAGAAATCATTTCTTAAATATAAGAGCATGTTAATCTGGGCACAGAAATAGTTTTCTCCAGTTTTTAAAACAAGCTCATCACCACGGCTGGGCAGTCTGCTCTGTGATTTAAGTAAACATGTCAAAGGTTGCTCCTTAGGATTGATGGACAGAGGCAGACCATAATAAAAATATGTATGAGGGTAGTGATAAATGCAGCTCTGCTCTCCCTGCAGCAGTGAGCAGAGGGTCCCTATAGGGGGAACGGACTATATCCTTATATCCACCACATCTTTAAAATGTCATTAATCCTTCTTTGGGAATATTTTTCACTAGTGAGCTGAAGCCTTCCTCCCTTGCAATTTTCAGGAGTTTTATTATGATTAAACATACACCTGCAAAATGGGAAGAGTTTTAGGATTCCTCATGCAACCTTGTATAATACTTATTGTCATCACCAAGAAATACCACCATACTCAGTGAAGATGACAGCAAAGGAAACCAGAAGGAACCTATCACTACAAATGCCCATACCCCGAGGGCAGGGGTCCTATCTGGCCTGCTCACCATCAGTCACAGTAAATTGATAAAGGTTTGTAAGCTGTGAATGAGCCAGGGTAGAACCATAATCATCCAGCTACCCATTTTGTCATGAATCACTCATATCCTGGGACTGAAGGACAAATCCCCTACATTGTTTTCCAACCACTGAGAAGGTGCACACAACAGGTCACTGCATCTGCCCATCCTTTACTTTGATTCCCTGTTATAGGGATGGAACAAAATATAATTTAAGGATTTGCATCTGGATTGGGTATTTTATATTAGGGAATTATCATTAACTTTATTAGGTGCACAATGGTATTATGACTGTGTAGGAGATTGTTTTTATTATTTGAAGCTCTATGCTAAATTATTTAGGGTGAATTATAGTGATAGCTAAGTTATATTTATTAACATAAATCAGAAAAAAATGTATAAACTAACATGACAAGTATTACTTTAAATCAGATGGTGGTTATGTGGGTGTTTACTATTCTATTTTCTGTATGTCTGAAAATTGTCACAATAAAGTTAAAAACATATTTAAGAAACATAAATGGCCAATAAACATATTGCTCTATTTATTTAAAAATGAAAATTTTAAATAAGATACAATTTTTCAACCAACAGATTGGCATAAAGTCTTTTTTGTTGCTGCTGCAACAAAAACTCATAATAATCTGAGTTGATATAATGTAGGAAATGAACACTTCCGTGTTCCCACCCAAAATAAATATTGAAATAACCTTCATGAGAGGCAGTCTACCAAGGGGAATCACAAGCCTTAATATGTTCTAAACCCATTCTAACCCAATGGTGCCACTTCTAGGAATTTATCCTAAGAAAATAATGCTAGCTATATGCAAAAATGTAGGTACAATACTATCATTACAGTGCTGTCATGATAGTAAAGCACAGGAAACAACTAAATATTCAATAATTAAATAGTGCTTCAATAAGTTAGGGCAAAACAGAAACAGCCATATGTAGGAATATTATGCAGCATTAAAAATATTGTAGTAGGGTTCCTTTCAGCTGGAACCACCATCTTCCAGTAATTCACCAAAATGGGATGAACACAAAGGGAAAGAGGAGAGGCACTCAATATATGTTCTGTAGGCCTTTTAGAAAACATAGAGTTGTTCCTTTGGCCACATATATGCAAATCTATAAGAAAGGTGATATTGTAGACATTAAGGGAATGAGTACTGTTCAAAAAGGAATGCTTTACAAGTGTTACCATGGCAAAAGTAGAGGAGTCTACAATGCCCCCAGCATGCTGTTGGCACTGTTGTAAACAACAAGTTAAGGGCAAGACTCTTGCTAAGAGAATCAATGTGTGTGCTGGGCACATTAAGCACTCTAAGAGCTGAGATAGCTTCCTGAAATGCATGAAGAAAAATGATCAGAAAAAGAAGGTGTACCTGGTGTCAGCCTGCTCCACGCAGAGAAGCACACTTTGTGAGAACTCACGGGAAGGAGCTTGCATTGCTGGAAGCTATTTCCTATGACTTCATGGCAAATAGGTGTTTAAAAAAAAAAAAAAAAAAAAAAAAAGACCTCTGGATTGTAAAAATGTGGTGTCCACTCCCTCAAAGAAATATTTAAAGCAAATTTTAATTGTGTCCTAATTAACTGTATAATGTCTTTACTAATCAAATTTAACGTATTGCTTACCAAAAGATGTGAGGTAACTTACTGCGCAAGAAATTACTCAACTGGTTAGAAGATGGCCAGATATTATTTATGACATATTTGTACTGGTTTAAAAGTAGTTCCTCTAAATCATCATGGAAGAAACAAAATAATTTACAAAAATAAAAAAAATATAGAAGCACACTGAATTATAGGAAAAAGTATTTGTAACATAGCAGGTAAGGGAAAAAACTAGATAGAAAACAGTATTTTTTTCTCCTAAGGGGAAAAAAAATTATATACATACAGAGAGACACATAGACTGAGAGATAAATAAATATATAAATATCTATCTTCCTACACAAAGATCACAAGTTACTTTTGTTTATGTATCTGCCTTTTAAATTTTCAATGCATATAAAATTGATGTGATAAAAAGTTTCCAAAAACAGAATTAACTGTTTTTCAAAATTTGCCTACAGACATTTTAAAAGTGGATATCATGCTTTTGCTGACAAAACAATTATAAAAATCCAAGTGTAATTCACTATGTTACTCTGTAATATGTCTTCTGTTTCTCATTCAGCCCTTTTCCCCAATTTTCCCATCTTTCGCTACAGAGATTTAGTTACTTGAGACTATATACTTCTAAACAGTTGACATGGTTTGGCTGTGTCCCCGCCCAAATCTCACCTTGAATTGTAATAATCCCCATGTGTCCAGGGCGGGGCCAGGTGGAGATAACTGAATCATGGGTGCGGTCTCCCCATAAGTTTCAGAAGATCCAATGGTTTTATAAATGGGAGTTCCCCTGCACAAGCTCTCTTGCCTGTCACAATATAAGACGAGAATTTGTTTCTCATTCGCCTTCCACCATGATTGTGAGGCCTCTCTAGCCATGTGGAACTGTGAGTCAATTAAACCTCTTTGCCTGATAAATTACCCAGTCTCAGGTATGCCTTTATTAGCAGCATGAGAACAGAACAGACTAATACAATAGTACACATCATCTCTTTTGCTCTCCATAGCTACTGGCTCCCTCTCACTTTCTCTATTACTAATAGTAGGCATCATCTCTTTTCCTCCCTGGAGCTACTGGCTCCCTCTCACTTTCTCTGTTACTAATACAATAGCACGCATCATCTCTTTTCCTCCCTCGAGCTACTGGCTCCCTCTCACTTTCTCTATTCTTATTACTGGCACCTCTCTGCACTCAGACCGTATTTTCTCTCTGCTCTCTCTCATCCATTATAAAAAATCAGCCATCTTAATCAAATATTCTTTCAAAGTGACTCTATCTTGCCATTCTCCATTCCTCCTGCTGCCGCAACCCTAAGGCTGCCTAACTTGTGGCCTTGCTGCACCAATCAAATCTCACACCCATCTCCTCGTCAAAAAACCTCGAATGCTTCCTACTGTTTAGTGGAATTCCAAACCCCCAATTACCTTTCCAATCCTGTCACCCACACCCTGTGATACTCAGCATACTTTGAGCCAGAGTTGTATTTAAATAAACACTTAAAGGATGAGCAATACTCCTTCAACCTGCAGAGGTTGTTTTCTCCTCAACTCATCTCCAGGCCTTCCCTCAAACGTGTTCCTTGTCGCCTCTCCAACTTGTCCCTGAGACTCCCCAAGTTCTCTCTCCTAAGGGCCTTCCCTGACCACTCTCCACAATGGGGGCTGCTCCCTCCTTCCACCTCCTACAGCATTTGCTTTAACCACAACGCAGGCCCTTGGGGTATGCCAACTTTAAGATTCTTTGTTACCTCCTGCATGCCTATCCATCTGGTCTCTTATATAAAATCTGAGCTCCTTTAAGATGTGGTCATTGTTATACATCTTTTGCACCTCCCACTCACCACAGAGTTTCCTGGTGTTTTATTTAAATGGCAGGCACTCAATACACATCTGTTTAAACTAACAGGAAGCAACACCAAAAGTACTAGGCAAACAGAAAAACGCATGTCGTTAAGACTAGAAACAAAACTGACTTCCTAGACTTTAACTTCTACATCTAGATGAAACATTACCTGACACTTGCCACAAGAACATCCTCCATAAGAAAACATCTGTCGTTGGCCAGGCACGGTGGCTCATGCCTGTAATCCCAGCACTTTGGGAGGCCAAGGCAGGAGGATCATGAGGTCAGGAGATCGAGACCATCCTGGCTAACACGGTGAAACCCCATCTCTACTAAAAATGCAAAAAATTACCCGGGCATGGTGGCAGGCGCCTGTAGTCCCAGCTACTTGGGAGGCTGAGGCAGGAGGATGGCATGAACCTGGGGAGGCAGAGCTTGCAGTGAGCCAAGATCATACCACTGCATTCCAGCCTGGGTGACAGAGTAAGACTCCATCTCAAAAAAAAAAAAAAAAAAAATCTGTCGTATGCCTTAGCCCCACATGTTTTATAACAAGTCCTGTCCTGACTACCACCACCCAGGATCCTGTGCCCCGAGCCAGCCCAAGTGTTTAGCCATTCCCTCCACACCTGTGGCACTCTGACAGCTCTTTACTTTGTATGTGTTGTTTTCTTTGCCTAAAAAGGTCTTCCATTGCCAACAAACCCTTCTCTACCTACTCATCTTCGAGCGTAATTCAAACATTACCACCTCTCCATAACTTAATGACTCTCCATAGAAAGATATAATTAGACCACACCATCTTCTGCTAATTAATCCTGTACACTACTTATCAATCATATCATGGCTTCTGGGGTTTTTTACACTTACACACAGTTCTCACTCTGATATTAATGGACAGGAGCCATGATGTATGCATTGATACACACCCAGTCCATGACACTGTATCTAGGTACCTTCAAAAAAACAGTGGAACTGATTCTAAATTCTCAAACAAATGAAAAGGGCAGAATTGGGCTCATTTTAATCCCCTAGGAGCCCTCTTTCCTTATCTGGCTCAGTTCCACTGGCTGTCGCTGATCTACAGAGCTGCCAACTTTCCTGCTACCATCACACCTGGTGTGAAGGCTGCAATGAAGCTCCCTTCCACCTCCCAAGCTAAAGAAGAATCCTCTCTTTACACAGGTTAGCAGAGAGAAGGCTGGGATATTTCACATGGAATTTTTACTAGGAAGAAAGTCAAGTCAGGAAAAAGTCACAGAAAATCAGCAAAGTAGACAGGTTTACAGAATGCTTACTGCTGATCCATAATTAACTAAGAAGCTCGGCCTGGCACGGTCCCCACATTGCTGTGTTTCCCGTTCTTCCCCTCACCACAATACCATCTGTGATAAATGGTAAACCTGACATCCTTAGCATGCTAAGCCAAGGCAGATTTGGGTTGGTACCACACTATCCAGGCCTGGTGAGATCACCAGAACTTTTGCCAGATCCACAATCCTTTCCACAAACTGCTGACTGCTGTTTTCTTCAGGTATGGTCCCCCTGACGTCATCTCTTAGGACTCCAAGCCACACAAACTGTTACTCAAAAGTCACATAGTCCCAGCCACCCCAAGGGAAGAGAGTACTTCCCCATTTATACCAAAGATTCCACCCTCGGCCTTCAAGTGCACTTAAACAGAAACACTACAGGTGTCTCTCCAGAACTCTGCATGAATTCTCACCCTCTCTAGGTCTACCTGATCAATTAGACTCTCCCCCAGTATAGTCCTGCTGGCTGCTGAAAGTGGATGTAGCAGCTGACAAAGATACATCGTTCCAAACTAAGGTCTCAGCCTAGCTTCTCCAGGGACCATGTGGCCTCCTCGAAAGGTGGACACAGCCTTTAAGTGGAGTCTTATCAATGGATCACACCAACCAGTGAGATTGTAAGATGCACCATGTATTGAGACACCCTCTATGGTGTTCCCACTTCCTGTCAGAAGGATGCCCACCACTCTTGCTTGTTTAGAAAACAGAAGTAACAGATAGGTCCTCGGTTCAAAGAACGATGACTTCTTTACCAGCTTAAGCTAATGAGCTACTTTCCATTTTGATAGGATCTTTGGCAGCCCACTTAGTTACTTTTCTGCAAGTGATCTTTCAGATTTCTGTCACTGGAGTTTTACAATATCAACACACCTTAAATGCACATACGAAGACCTTCTCTGGTTCTCTCATACAGACCTCATTCCAACCATGGTGGTCCCAACATGCACAACCATAGAGATCAGCTTAGGTAAGGAACAAATGCTTTTCTGTTTTCTGGACTTTCATCCTCCAGAATCCTTTTCCAACTTAGAAACTGTATACTGTATTGTGGCCAGAAATGGTGGCTCGTGCCTGTAATCCCAGCACTTTAGGAGGCCAAGGCAGGCAGATCACTTGAGGTCAGAAGTTCAAGACCAGTCTGGCCAGCATGGGGAAACCCGTCTCTACTAAAAATACAAAAATTGGTGGATGGTTCCAAGATGGCCGAATAGGAACAGCTCCAGTCTACAGCTCCCAGCGTGAGCGATGCAGAAGACAGGTGATTTCTGCATTTCCAACTGAGGCACCAGGGTCATCTCACTGGGGCTCATTGGACAGTGGGGGCAGGACAGTGGGTGCAGCCCACCAAGTGTGAGCCGAAGCAGGGCGAGGCATCGCCTCACCCAGGAAGCGCAAGGGGTCAGGGAATTCCCTTTCCTAGCCAAGGGAAGGGGTAACAGACGGCACCTGGAAAATCGGGTCACTCCCACCCTAATACTGCGCTTTTCCAACGGTCTTAGCAAACGGCACACCAGGAGAATATATCCTGCGCCTCGCTCGGAGGGTCCCACGCCCACGGAGCCTCGCTCATTGCTAGCAAAGCAGTCTGAGATCCAACTGCAAGGTGGCAGTGAGGCTGGGGGAGGGGCGCCCACCATTGCTGAGGCTTGAGTAGTAAACAAAGCGGCCTGGAAGCTCGAACTGGGTGGAGCCCACCACAGCTCCAGGAGTCCTCTGTAGACTCCACCTCTGGGGGCAGAGCATAGCCGAACAAAAGGCAGCAGAAACCTCTGCAGACTTAAATGTCCCTGTCTGACAGCTTTGAAGAGAGTAGTGGTTCTCCCAGCACAGGGTTTGAGATCTGAGAACAGACAGAATGCCTCAAGTGAGACCCTGAGCCCCAAGTAGCCTAACTGGGAGGCGCCCCCCAGTAGGGGCAGATTGACACCTCACACAGCCGGGTACCCCTCTGAAATGAAGCTTCCAGAGGAAAGATCAGGCAGCAACATTTGCTGTTCAGCAATATTTGCTGTTCTGCAGCCTCCGCTGCTGATACCCAGGCAAACAGGGTCTGGTGTGGACCTCCATCAAACTCCAACAGACCTGCAGCTGAGGGTCCTGACTGTTAGAAGGAAAACTAACAAACAGAAAGGACATCCACACCAAAACCCCATCTGTACGTCACCATCATCAAAGACCAAAGGTAGATAAAACCACAAAGATGGGGGAAAAAACAGAGCAGAAAAGCTGAAAATTCTAAAAATCAGAGCACCTCTCCTGCTCCAAAGGAACGCAGCTCCTCACCGGCAACGGAACAAAGCTGGACGGACAATGACTTTCACGAGTTGAGAGAAGAAGGCTTCAGACGATCAAACTTCTCCGAGCTAAAGGAGGAAGTTCGAACCCAAAGCAAAGAAGCTAAAAACCTTGAAAAAAAGATTGGACGAAAGGCTAACTAAAATAACCAGCGTAGAGAAGTCCTTAAATGACCTGATGGAGCTGAAAACCATGGCACAAGAACTATGTGACAAATGCACAAGCTTCAGTAGCCGATTCGATCAACTGGAAGAAAGGGTATCAGTGATGGAAGATCAAATGAATGAAATGAAGCGAGAAGAGAAGTTTAGAGAAAAAAGAGTAAAAAAGAAATGAACAAAGCCTCCAAGAAATACGGGACTATGTGAAAAGACCAAATCTATGTCTGACTGGTGTACCTGAAAGTGATGGGGAGAATGAAACCAAGTTGGAAAACACTCTGCAGGATAATATCCAGGAGAACTTCCCCAACCTAGCAAGGCAGGCCAACATTCAAATTCAGGAAATACAAAGAACGCCACAAAGATACTCCTCGAGAAGAGCAAGTCCAAGACACATAACTGTCAGATTCACCAAAGTTGAAATGAAGGAAAAAAATGTTAAGGGCAGCCAGAGAGAAAGGTCGGGTTACCCACAAAGGGAAACCCATCAGACTAACAGCAGATCTCTCGACAGAAACTGATCTCCCGACAGATCTCTGGCCAGAAGAGAGTGGGGGCCAATATTCAACATTCTTAAAGAAAAGAATTTTCAACCCAGAATTTCATATCCAGCCAAACTAAGCTTCATAAGTGAAGGAGAAATAAAATACTTTACAGACAAGCAAATGCTGAGAGATTTTGTCAACACCAGGCCTGCCCTAAAAGAGCTCCTGAAGGAAGCACTAAACATGGAAAGGAACAACTGGTACCAACCACTGCAAAAACATGCCAAATTGTAAAGACCATCGATGCTAGGGAGAAACTGTATGAAGCAACGAGCAAAATAACCAGCTAACATCATAAAGACAGGATCAAATTCACACATAACAATATTAACCTTAAATGTAAATGGGCTAAATGCTCCAATTAAAAGACACAGACTGGCAAATTGGATAAAGAGTCAAGACCCATCAGTGTGCTGTATTCAGCAAACCCATCTCACGTGCAGAGACACACATAGGCTCAAAATAAAGGGATGGAGGAAGATCTACCAAGCAAATGGAAAAAAAAAAAAAAAGGCAGGGGTTGCAATCTTAGTCTCTGATAAAACAGACTTTAAACCAACAAAGATCAAAAAAGACAAAGAAGGCCATTACATAATGGTAAAGGGATCAATTCAACAAGAAGAGCTAACTATTCTAAATACATATGCACCCAATACAGGAGCACCAAGATTCATAAAGCAAGTCCTGAGTGACCTACAAAGAGACTTAGACTCCCACACAATAATAATGGGAGACTTTAACACCCCACTGTCAACATTAGACAGATCAACGAGACAGAAAGTTAACAAGGATATCCAGGAATTGAACTCAGCTCTGCACCAAGCAGACCTAACAGACATCTACAGAACTCTCTACCCCAAATCAACAGAATATACATTCTTCTCAGCACCACATGGCACTTATTCCAAAATTGACCACATAGTTGGAAGTAAAGCCCTCTTCAGCAAATGTAAAAGAACAGAAACTATAACAAACTGTCTCTCAGACCACAGTGCAATCAAACTAGAACTCAGGATTAAGAAACTCACTCAAAACCACTCAACTACATGGAAACTGAACAACCTGCTCCTGAATGACTACTGGGTACATAACGAAATGAAGTCGGAAATAAAGACGTTCTTTGAAACCAATGAGAACAAAGACACAACATACCAGAATCTCTGGGACACATTTAAAGCAGTGTGTAGAGAGAAATCTATAGCACTAAATGCCCACAAGAGAAGCAGGAAACATCTAAAATTGACACCCTAACATCACAATTAAAAGAACTAGAGAAGCAAGAGCAAACACATTGAAAAGCTAGCAGAAGGCAAGAAATAACTAAGATCAGAGCAGAACTGAAGGAGATGGAGACACAAAAAACCCTTCCAAAAATTAATGAATCCAGGAGCTGGTTTTTTGAAAGATCAACAAAATTGATAGACTGCTAGCAAGACTAATAAAGAAGAAAAGAGAGAAGAATTAAATAGACGCAATAAAAAATGAGAAAGGGGATATCTCCACCGATCCCACAGAAATAAAAACTACCATCAGAGAATACTATAAACACCTCTACGCAAATAAACTAGAAAATCTAGAAGAAATGGATAAATTCGTCGACACATACACCCTCCCAAGACTAAACCAGGAAGAAGTTGAATCCCTGAATAGACCAATAACAGGATCTGAAATTGAGGCAATAATTAATAGCCTACCAACCAAAAAAAGTCCAGGACCAGACAGATTCACAGCCGAATTCTACCAGAGGTACAAGGAGGAGCTGCTACCATTCTTTCTGAAACTATTCCAATCAATAGAAAAAGAGGGAATCCTCCCTAACTCATTTTATGAGGCCAGCCATCATCCTGATACCAAAGCCTGGCAGAGACACAACAAAAAAAGAGCATTTTAGACCAATATCCCTGATGAACATCGATGCAAAAATCCTCAATAAAATACTGGCAAACCAAATTCAGCAGCACATCAAAATGCTTATCCACCATGATAAAGTGGGCTTCATCCCTGGGGTGCAAGGCTGGTTCAACATACGCAAATCAATAAAAGTAATCCAGCATATAAACAGAACCAAAGACAAAAACCACATTATTATCTCAATAGATGCAGAAAAGGCCTTTGATAAACTTCAACAGCACTTCATTCTAAAAACTCTCAATAAATTAGGTAAAGATGGGACGTATCTCAAAATAATAAGAGCTATCTATGACAAACCCACAGCCAATATCATACTAAATGGGCAAAAACTGGAAGCATTCCCTTTGAAAACTGGCACAAGACAAGGATGCCGTCTCTCACCACTCCTATTTAACATAGTGTTGGAAGTCCTGGCCAGGGCAATCAGGCAGGAGAAAGAAATAAAGGGTATTCAATTAGGAAAAGAGGAAGTCAAATTGTCCTGTTTGCAGATGACATGATTGTATATTTAGAAAACCCCATCGTCTCAGCCCAAAATCTCCTTCAGCTGATAAGCAACTTCAGCAAAGTCTCAGGATACAAAATCAATGTGCAAAAATCACAAGCATTCTTATACACCAATAACAGACAAACAGAGAGCCAAATCATGAGTGAACTCCCATTCACAATTGCTTCAAAGAAAATAAAATACCTAGGAATCTAACTTACAAGGGATGTGAAGGACCTCTTCAAGGAGAACTGCAAATCACTGCTCAATGAAATAAAAGAGGATACAAACAAATGGAAGAACATTCCATGCTCATGGATAGGAAGAATCAATATCATGAAAATGGCCATACTTCCCAAGGTAATTTACAGATTCAATTCCATCCCCATCAAGCTACCAATGACTTTCTTCACAGAATTGGAAAAAACTACTTTAAAGTTCATATGGAACCAAAAAAGAGCCTGCATTGCCAAGTCAATCCTAAGCCAAAAGAACAAAGCCAGAGGCGTCACGTTACCTGACTTCAAACTATACTACAAAGCTACAGTAACCAAAACAGCACGGTACTGGTACCAAAACAGAGACATAGACCAATGGAACAGAACAGAGGCCTCAGAAATAATACCACACATCTACAACCATCTGATCTTTCACAAACCTGACAAAAACAAGAAATGGGGAAGGATTCCCTATTTAACAAATGGTACTGGGAAAACTGGCTAGCCATATGTAGAAAGTTGAAACTGGATCCCTTCCTTACACCTTATACAAAAATTAATTCAAGATGGATTAAAGACTTACATGTTAGACCTAAAACCATAAAAACCCTAGAAGAAAACCTAGGCAATACCATTCAGGACACAGGCATGGGCAAGGACCTCATGTCTAAAACACCAAAAGCAATGGCAACAAAAGCCAAAATTGACAAATGGGATCTAATCAAACTAAAGAGCCTCTGCACAGCAAAAGAAACAACCATCAGAGTGAACAGGCAACCTACAGAATGGGAGAAAATTTTTTCAATCTACTCATCTGACAAAGGGCTAATATCCAGAATCTACAAAGAACTCAGCCAAACTCACAAGAAAAAAACAAACAACCCCATCAAAAAGTGGGTGAAGGATGTGAACAGACACTTCTCAAAAGAAGACATTTATGCAGCCAAAAGACACATGAGAAAATGCTCATCATCACTGGCCATCAGAGAAATGCAAATCAAAACCACAGTGAGATACCATCTCACACCAGTTAGAATGACGATCATTAAAAAGTCAGGAAACAACAGGAGCTGGAGAGGATGTGGAGAAATAGGAACACTTTTACACTGTTGGTGGGACTGTAAACTAGTTCAACCATTGTGGAAGACAGTGTGGCAATTCCTCAAGGATCTAGAACTAGAAATACCATTTGACCCAGCAATCCCATTACTGGGTATATACCCAAAGGATTATAAATCACGCTGCTGTAAAGGCACATGCACACGTATGTTTATTGCGGCACTATTCACAATAGCAAAGACTTGGAACCAACCCAAATGTCCATCAATGATAGACTGGATTAAGAAAATGTGGCACATATACACCATGGAATACTATGCAGCCATAAAAAATGATGAGTTCATATCCTTTGCAGGGACATGGATGAAGCTGGAAACCATCATTCTCAGCAAACTATCGCAAGAACAAAAAAACAAACACCACATGTTCTCACTCATAGGTGGGAATTGAACAATGAGAACACTTGGACACAGGAAGGGGAACATCACACACTGGGGCCTGTTGTGGGGTGGGGGGAGGAGGGAGGGATAGCATTAGGAGATATACTTAATGTAAATGACAAGTTAATGGGTGCAGCACATCAACATGGCTCATGTATACATATGTAACAAACCTGCACGTTGTGCCCATGTACCCTAGAACTTAAAGTATAATAAAAAAATAATAATAACAACAATACAAAAATTAACTAGGCGTGGTGGTACATGCCTATAATCCCAGCTACTCGGGAGGCTGAGGCATGAGAATCACATGAACCCGGGAGACAGAGGTTGCAGTGAGCTGACATGCGCAACCTGCACTCCAGCCTGGGAGACACAGTGAGACTCTGTCTCAGAAAAAAAAAAAAAGAAAAAAAAGAAACTCTACACTGTATTTCTGGGCTAAAAACAAATTTATAAAGAACATTGCTTTGTTTTTAAGAGACAGGGTCTCACTCTGTCATCCAGGCTGGAATGTGGTGGCACATTCATAGCTCACTGAAGCCTCAAATTCCTAGGCTCAAGCCATCCTCCTGCCTCAGCCTCTCACTGGGATTACAGGTGTCCAGAATCCTGATTTTTTATGTATAATCTAAATCTCCTTACAAATGTGTCCTTTTTTTTCCTCCCCACAAAACTATCCCTGCTTTTAATTCATTTGCTTTTGGAGTCTTTATTTCTCCTTTACTTAAATCATTACTTAATTTCAAGCATTTACTGAATCAATACATAACACATATCAGATGCAGGACACCTTTCATATAAGTTACCTCACTGAATCGTTACAATTTAAAAAAATGTTTTATTATGAACATGTTCAGACCAGGTGTGGTGGCTCACACCTGTAATCCCAGCACTTTGGGAGGCCAAGGCGTGCAGATCACCTGAGGTCAGGAGTTCAAAACCAGCCTGATCAACATGGTGAAACCCCGTCTCTACTAAAAACACAAAATTAGCCGGGTGTGGTGGCACATGCCTGTAATCCCAGCTACCCAGGAGCCTGAAAATCACCTGAACCCGGGAGGTGGAGGTTGCAGTGAGCTGAGAAAGCGCCATTGCACTCCAGCCTGGGCAACAAGAGTGAAACTCTGTCTCAGAAAACAAGAAAAGAAAAGAAAATTTTTCAAACATATACAAAGTAGAGAGAACAGTGTAATAAACCCAATATTCCATTTCCCAATTTCAAAAGTTATCATCATACTGCCTACTCATTTTCCTCAACTCAACAAAACTGGATTATTTAAAAGCAAATCTCAGAAACGGTAGTCTCATCTGTAAAAATGTTTCAGTGTATATCTCTAAAACATAGACTCTATATTTCCCATAATGAGAATATTATCAGCCTAAACATCGATTAATACCAACTCCTTAATATCAAATATCCTGTCCATGTTCAAAGTCCTTGATGTCTCAATTAGTTTTAATAGTAACACATTGTGATGAGGAAAGAGAGGTTCATAGATTTAATACCTTTCTACACCATATTCAGTACACATCAAATTTCTCATTTGACACCCTGGTCCTCTTTCCATACAACTCAGCTGCCTTTTCATAATGTTTAGAAAAACATATATATATAAAATATGTGTATATTAATATATGTTATTAATAATATATCATATATGTGTGTGTATATATACATATATATTATATGTGTGTATATTATCTTACAAAAGTGGCCTTTTCTTTTCTGAGTACTTTAATTTCAGCTGAATAACATAAAGGTGTTTCGGTGTCTGGAACCTGAGACAGACTTTTATTCTATTAATCATTCACTGCCCACTATCACAAAATAGGTGGAAATATAAGATGCCAGTATAAGACACAAACTTCCATGGTGTCTGTTGTGCTCTAGTATCTAGTATTATCCATACTGGAGCCTCCTCTCAGGATACCGCAGTCATCATAAAGTGATGATAATGATGATGACCACAACAATAGGCTTCTACCAGGGAGAGACAGTATAGTCCCATGGATGAGTGAAGGATTACTGAGATGTTTACAATGAGCTTTAAACTTCCTAGGAGAAAAAGCTATACGGGTCAATCCTGGAAAGGTAAATGGGTTGCAAAACTGAATACTCCAGCAACCGCTTTTATTCACATACCTTACACCACATGAGATAAAAGAAATTAAAATATAAGCCATGTTGTCATCACAGTCACCTACATTTTAAAAAGCAGACGTATTTGTAAGGCTCTCCCCTCTTAAGACATGTTGGGATTTTCTTTTTTTTTTTTTTTCTTGAGACAGTCTTGCTCTGTCGCCCAGGCTGGAGTGCAGTGGCACGATCTCAGCTCACTGCAACCTCCGCCTCCCAGGTTCAAGCGATTCTCCCACCTCAGCCTCCTGAATAGCCAGGATTACAGGCACGTGCCACCACACCTGGCTAGTTTTGGTACTTTCAGTAAAGATGGGGTTTCACCATGTTGGCCAGGCTGGTCTCAAACTCCTGACCTCAGGGGATCCACCCACCTCAGCCTCCCAAAGTGCTGGGATTACAGGCATGAGCCACCGTGCCGGGCTGACACTTTGGGACTTTTTCAAAATATAACAACGAAATAAAGAGCTGTTTGAAAATAATATTTAAAAGTTATAGAACACAAATCAAACAAGAAACAAAATAGATTCCTTTATACTGACCTTCAAAAATATTGTTCTAAGCTCAGCTGGATCTGCTCTCTTGGTTAAAGCCACCTATAAATAAACATAAAAATGTTTATGTTATTACAACAAAGCTGAGAAATCAAGCTAGCCGACTAAAGGAAAATAAATCTCAGATTAAAAATTAGTGCATTTCATTTTTGTACTTAAATACCATGTTGCCCCAGTGCATAAACTATGCCCCCTTCCCATTTTAAATTAGACTCCTTATGCAGCTTCTAAAATGATAAAATTTTATGCAAGGAACCAGTAGCAAAATCTCTTAATATCTAATGTTGAATGTATATCATTTCTTAAAAAGAAAAGGTGAAACATTGCAAACACCTGTCATTTTTTACTTATAATCCAGTGTAAACCATGCCCTTTCACAGGAGAATTTAAGTAAACAAATGTTTGTCAACTATGCAAGAGAACATATTTCTTTTTTTTTTTTCTGAGACAGTCTCTCTCTGTTGCCCAGGCTGGAGTGTAGTGGTGCAATCTCGGCTCACTGCAACCTCTGCCTCCCAGGTTCAAGCGATTCTCCTGCCTCAGCCTCCTGAGTAGCTGGGATTGCAGGCGCGTACTACCACTCCCAGCTAATTTATGTATTTTTAGTAGAGATAGGGTTTCACCATGTTGGCCAGGCTGGTCTCAAACTCCTGACCTCAAGTGATCTGCCCGCCTCAGCCTCCCAAAGTGCTAAGATTACAGGCGTGAGCCATCGTGCCCAGCCAAGAGAACATATTTCTTAAAGAAGTCAGTGAACTAGGGAAATCATATTAACTCAAGGGAGTTACTTCTCACAGTTTCACCATGAACAGGCATGTATACCTCACTACCTGGGCATGCCAAAGAACCTCTCCTCCTCTCCTCAGTTTTTAATTAATAAATCATAGGTCTCCAAAGGTATGATATTATTCTACATATTTTAGAAATACAAGTGGCTGTGGTTATCTTTGAAGAGCAAAAATTGACAGATTAGCTCAGAATGGGTGTTGTGCTTAATTCTGCAGGCCACAAAGTCCAAAAACATTGCTGGGGAAAAGCAAGACAAACTTCAACATGGCTTCCTCAGGCCAACACAAAAGAGCCCTTATGTGGAACCAAACAGTGGGTTTATTCAATGTCCCAACACCCAATCCTCCTAGCAAAAAACATCATGAGACTGGGTTCCCACCAAGCACAGAGCCACCCCATGATGAAGCCAAGGAGAGGTTCCTGGAACCACCCAACACTGGACCCATGTTGCTATCCACAGGGAAACTTATGCAAATTGTCCTAAATCCCTTCTGTGAGCTAGTGAAGGCTGTTCTGAGATCTTTGGACAATGAGTTCTCTGTCTCTAAATATGGAACTGCCTGAGCTCCTAGGCTCTCCACTGTCAGGAATAATTTTATTAACTAATCACTAGAATGGGAGTAGTCTTTCTGAAACCAGATGGTTGGTCACCTTGTTTCCCAAAGCAAGACTGATAACTCTTCATTTCAGCTGAGTGCTTGTAACCACCAAGGCTATTCATAAGAATTTGTAATACTTTTTTTTTTTTCTTTGAGATGGAGTTTCACTCTTGTTGCCCAGGCTGGAGTGCAATGATGCAGTCTTAGCTCACTGCAACCTCAGCCTCCCAGGTTCAAACGATTCTCCTGCCTCAGCCTCCCAAGTAGTTGGGATTATAGGCATGCACCACCATGCCCGGCTAATTTTTTATTTTTAGTACAGATGGGGTTTTACCATGTTGGCCAGGCTGGTCTCCAACTCGTGACCTTAGGTGATCTGCCCGCCTCAGACTCCCAAAACGCTGGGATTACAGGCATGAGCCACTGTGCCCAGCCATGAATTTTTAATCTTTTTAAAAATCCTGAATTAGTAAGTGTTCTCTGCTGTTCAATAGAGGAGAAGAAAATGTACTGCTAGTTAACCTAAGATGAATGACTCTGCTGCCCTAAAAGCTTCAGAGAGGACTCCCTCCTCTCAGGTCTCTATTCTGAGAAAGGTAGGGTAGGACGAACACAAGAGAAGATGGGACAGCATAAAATGCCCCCATCCTCCACTTTAAGAGCAGAAAAATCTCCTCCTTGATGGTAAGAGTCCCACATCTCATGGAAGTACATAACACTTTTTTCAAAAGCATATGGTACCCTAAGTTCTTAACTGTTTTCCTCTTAAAAGCAAAATAAATTTTCCACAAAATGAAGTATTCTTCGTAATTCTAAAATAGAATTAATTCTTTATGCCATGAACTTTGTAAGGTCTTGCCTGGGCAATGCTATTTCAGAGTGAACCTCCCCTGCCCTCAATTTTCATAGCACATTTCTGCTTAAGGATCCTGAAATGTATATTCAGTGCTCCCCATCAGAACTACACCTCAAAGGGGGAAAAAAAGTGTTCACTTTGTAACCTTCTCAGGGTCTAGGGCAGAGAACACAAATCAAAACAAAGACAGAGAATGACCCAACACTTATAAGGCATGTTGCCTAACATTTACAGTTTTCTAAGCAAGACTATTATCTCGTTGGATTCTCACTGCAAATCAGTCAGATAAGATGGATATTACTGCCCTAATTTTACAGAAGAGGAAACCAAAGCTCAGAAAGCATCAATTATTTCCCCCAAAAAGTCAGATTAAGTGCCAATCTGTGCTGACATTTCTAAATGTTTTCTGAGCTGAGATCAGATCCCAAATATTCCATCTCTTACCGTAGTGGCCTTCCTACAGACCCACATTACAGGCAGCTTCAAAGTGTTGATAACTTGCATTAGCTGGCAATATAATACAGTCATGCATCACTTAACAACAGGATAACATTCTGAAAAATGCATTGTTAAGTGATTTCATCATTGTGTGAACATCATATAGTGTACTTATACAAACCTAGATGGTGTAGCCTACTACATACCTAGGCAAATGAGATAGCCTATTGCTCCTAGGCTACAAATCTATACAGCATGTTCCTATACTGATTACTGTAGGCAACTGTAAAACAAGTATCTAAACATAGAAAAGGTGTGGTAAAAATATGGTTTTAAAAGATAAAAAGTGGAACACCTGTACAGGGCAGCTCCACTATAATTTATGGAGCCACCATCATATATGCAGTCCTTCATTGATGAAAACATCCTTATGTGGTACATAACTGCAATATAGTACAAGCCTAAAAATCAAAACTCTCCCAATTTCTCCTAACAGTGTGTAGTGTCTGTCCAATGCTGTGATTAAGGACATGATCTTACAGGAATGGTGGCTCATACCTATAATCCCAGCACTTTGGGAGGCCAAGGTGGGAGGATCACTTGAGCCCTGGAGTTTGAGATTAGCCTGGGCAACATAGTGACACCCCATCTTCATTAAAAAAAAAGAACATGGCCTTAGTGTCAGATCATCCTCAAATAGGGAGCAGGACCAACCTCATAAACTCACTGGCCATGTGACTTGGAGGCCCTGACCTCTCAGCCTCACTTTCCTCATTTATAAAATGGGGAGTCCTAGACAGCTAGAAAAGTAATATGAGATAATTACACAAAGTGCTTAGCACCAAAAGGGCCACACAGTTAAAGTGCTCAATAAATGGTATCTATTACTATTTGTATTATTTATCCAAAGATGTTTATGTTCTACCATGTTTACTCCTTAAGAAATCTAAATGATGGGTAAACTGGCTCATAATTTAGAAGGGATAAATTAGCAAAAGAGAAGAGAAACTCATGGGTCTTCAAACACACTCACCAAACCACTAAATAAACATTGTGGCCATCCTAACTGATAATTGTCTCAGCTACCCTACCCCCAACCCAGAGTTCCAGGTACAGCAAATGGTTAATGATCACCACAAGATTTCTCTGAGGCCCACTAAAATTTGGCTCAGGTCCTGGTACATTCTATTTAAGGATAGATAAGTATGGTTCAACAGGGGATGGATTCAGAAAAATTACTACCAGCCTCCTGGGCCTCATCTCTATAGTAATTCCATCTATTATTCACCAGTCAAATGCTGTGTGGCTGTTCGGAATTTCCATTTATACTGCTACCTCCCATTCCTATCTTCTTGTTTTAAGTGTCATTTGCTATGAATGAAGAACACTTACACAACTTAATTGAAGACAATGCAAAGTTACCATGAGATGTACCAGTTTTTTAAAGGTGTATTTCAATGAATTCTACCTGGTGGCAAAACCAATACCCAGGAAGTTCTATGAGCTGGAAAAAGGAAGCCACAGAAATGTAGCCACCCTTTTAAAGTCAATTCAGAACAGCTGTCCAGCATGCATACTTTGCATCACATAAGCTTGGGATTATTAGACTTAGTTCATTCTTGGGCTTTAGAAGCCTGGAATTATTAGACTTCGTTCATTCTTGGGGTTTAGAAGAGTCATCAAACTTTAGATTGTTTCCAGAAGGCTTACTTTCACTGTTACATTTTTTTCTCATATATTAATAGCATGCAAATATTTACAGCTACTATTGTTATAACTGCCTGATTTTCTTTATGATTCTTCTTCTGAATTTGCATTTGTAAGAATGGATTCCAACATTAAAACAAAAATTTTATATCAAGAATTTTAAATCAAGTAACTGGTTTTCAAACATACAGAGTAATTCACTAAGAAGAAAGGGGTCCTTTACAGATTACTATGAAATATTATTTGCTAACAAGATAAAGAATTTTGTTGAAATTTGATAACATTTTACTCTGATTCCAAATTTAAGGGAAAAAGAGAGGGTTTTGGTGTTTTGTTTTTTTTTTTTTTAGTTGGGGGTCTCATTGTGTCACTCAGGCTGGAGTGCAGTGGTGCGATCATGGCTTACTGCAGCCTCACACTCCTGGGCTCAAGCAATCCTCCCACCTCAGCCTCCTGAGTAGCTGAGGCTAAATGCATGTGTCACCAGGCCCCACTAATTTTTTAATTTTTTTGTAGAGACAGTCTCACTATGTTGCTCAAGCTAGTCTCAAACTCCTGGCCTCAAGTGATCCTTCCATCTTGGCCTCCCAAAGTGCTGGGTTTACAAGCATGAGCCACCATGCCTGGCCCAGAAAGTGGCAATGTTGGAACAGAAAAACTCTATGCATAGTTTCTTCCATAAACTGGGAAAAGTCTATCATTATTTAAATTTAGTATGGAAATTTCAGGTCGATTCAATGAGTCTATGCTCCACAGGAGCAAAATTTGAGAATCACTGAATATGTAAAACTTTTTGACAAGATAAACACTGGTTATAATTGTGTAAGTCATCAATAGCGTTTGCAAAACACATACTAGGTAGGTACATCCTAGAAATAAAAAGAAAAACAATAACACAATTTCAAGAACTGGTGTTTTTAAAAAGGCAGGGGGTAGGGGAGAACATGGCAAGAAGAATACAAAAGTCATCTTTCAGGACAAATGAATTCACTCTCCTAATATGAGTTAGAGCAGCCATAGGTAGGGGGTCACCAGAAAATTCCTACCTGTAGGAATATTTTTTAAACAGACTTTCTTACAAGGGAATCAAGCCACAGTTGCAGGCTCATTACTTTAACAAATCACAGTGGTATAGAATGGTGTATTCAAAATAGTTGTCAGATCTAAGAGAGGATGGTGGGGAAGAATATAAGAAAACCTACACGAAAATAAGAAATGCTAATTTGAAAAATAAAATGCAAAGAAAAGCAAAGCTCTCCTCTTTCACTGGGAGGCTGTAGAGATGTGAGACCACCATCTCTGTGAGGGCACCTTACTCCTCAGATCAACCCCAACTCTGGCAAAGATCAGGAAACAAAGTAGATTCTCTGGAAGTGCTGAATATAGAATAAAGTCTTTCAGGTCAGTAAAAATCTGACATTTACAATGAAAATAGGCAACTCTCTTCAGACCAATGGTTCTCAAAGTGTGGAGACCATCAGCATCACCTGGGAACTTTTAAAAATACAAATTATCACACCCATCCCAGACCCAAAGAATCAGAAACTGGGTGAGGCCCAGCAATCCCCTATGATTTAACAAGCCCTCCAGGTGACCCTGATGCAGTTAAAGTTTAAGAACCACAGCTTTAGATAATGTCCAATTTTAATGTACGGATTATAAGATGTAGGTTCTCAGTCCTCGCTGCATATTCAAGTCCCCTGAGGTGCTTTTAGGTTTTACAAAACCCAAACCATACCAAAGGTCAATCAAATGAAAATTTCTAGAATGGATATCTTTAGAGCTCCCTCAAGAAATTACCATGTGTGGGTGGACTGAGAACAACTGCGTTAGGACCCGAGGCCCAACCTCAGCTGCTACGTCACCAACTGTACAGCACAGCCCTTCCTCAGCAATACTTCCCCAGTCACCCTCCCAAACCTGAAACATCTGAAAGCCAAGACAAGCACAGACTTACACTGAAAATTCTACTATCATAAAGTAAATATTTGCCTTAGATAAGAACTACAAACTCAAAGAGGTAGCTCATCAAAAGCAAGCTTCTGGGTGTGTGTGTGGGTGGGTGGGTGTAAATAAGCATGCAGTGACAAGCAGGAAACGGAGAGAGAAGGAGAAACAGTCCTGCATAGTCTTTTGAACCTGAGGAAATAGTGCAGTAGATGGCCCTGAATCCCAAAGAAAAGTATTCTTGGGTGTAACCTAACCACTTAGAAGCAGGGGCCCACCCTCCTTCTTTATCTTCCTATACTAAAGACACTAGAAGGCTGAAACTACAATTCCCAGACTCCCTTGCTGCTATGCGGCCTATGTGCCATCAATTAGATGAAATTGAGTGAGATTTGGCAAATGTTTGGGAGTTGGGGGGCACCTTCTGCTGTTTCTGCCAAGCACGCACCATTGCTGGAAGTGTCTAGTTTTCCTGTGGCAACCTCCTGCCCTCCCATGTCAGTGGCCACATGGTCCTGAAACACTCTCCACTTGGCAGGCAGCATTGTGACTGCACAGGAGGTCACTGCTGTCTTGGTGGCCTGCTCTGCTTGAGACTCTAGACGTCATTCTTTAGAGCTCAACCTCAAGTCTGTTTCTTTACCTTCCCAACAAATTGTGTAAGCCATTTAATATCCTGTAATAAATCTCTCTCTGCTTAAACCAGCTAGAGTAGATTCTGTTCTCTGCGAGTGAGCCCTGACTGATACAATCAGTAATTGCAAAAGAAAGTTTGGAATTCCCTAAAACCACAGTTACCATTAACTTGAGAAGAAGAAAAAGGTATCTCAAACTTAAGAAAATAATTTTTTATTGAAACCACTGAGTCACTCATCCTTCATCCTACAGTTTCCCTACGACCTAATAAATGAAGAGCAGTCATTATGGGAAAAGTTACTGAAATATAAATTAGTACAAAGACAAGATGCCCTGTTAAGCATTCTTCAAACCACAACATTTCTATGTAATCAGCTGGCAAAACTTCATTTCACTCAACAGTTGACTTATAAAGTATCAGACACCACAAATGTTAACCCACTGGGTAATTACATCAGCGAGTCATTTCAGAGGCACTAGAGATGTTTATCAGAAGGATTCAGTAGGTTGTGATGTATGTTAGATTTCACTCTGCTCTGTTGTAGAACATAAACTAGAAAGCCATCATCATTAAAATTCTGATATTAAGAGGCAGAGTATAACAGTTAAGAATGAATGGTGGTGTTTTAGCTGGGTTCTGTTATGCCAAAAGAGCCTGAAACATACTAGTTCTGGATTTTACTATTATTGTTATTAAGCTGACCTCTACCTGCTAGATGGGAGTAGCAACCCCTTCCCCAACAAGCTGCAACAACCAAGAAACTGTCTCCAGAGGTTGCTAAAAGAAATCCTCTTGGGGGCCAAACTACCCCACCCCCCAGCTAACAACCACTCCTTAGATGGTGATGCTCTACTTGCTCATCCATGCAACACAATCACCTATGGGAAAGCTGCAGTGTACTAGGCCCAGCGCCAGGCACCGAGGAGAAAACACCCAATAAATCAGAAACCCTGCCCCAAGCAGGGAAAGCTGACTTATCGACAAGTGGTTGGTACAAAATGTATGATGATACATGCTATCATAAGGCAGAGTGGCAGGAGAATTAATACACTAATTCTGCTAAAGTTGAGGGTCACAGAGGCAGTCTTTGGAGCCGGATCACTTATTATTAATTATAACGATAACAATGACCAGCTAACTTTTACTGGGTCCTTAACTCTATGCCAGGCATTATGCTAATGGCTTTTTATCTTATTTCATTTATATACTGTATCATTAAAACTCTTTAAGGGGAAGAGTGAGTAATATCCCCACTTTTCAAATAAAGAAGCTGAGGTACTAAAGAGTCTTAAATGAATACCAGTAGATCACACAGCCAGAAATGACCCCTGAGCTCAGGTTATTTAGACACTAATTATAATACCTGAAGGATATTCCCAGAGTTTAGCAAGCAAAAAGGGGGACTTTAAAGCTACCTTTAAGAATGGAGACACTGGACAACATTGTAATTGTAACCAATTTAAAATAAATTCTTTTTAATTTGGCATTATGATTCATAAATGCCCATGGCTCAGTAGAAGGCAGAAATGCCTAGTGCAGAATATTATTCTCCAGTATTTTATGCTGAATTCAGTCTCAATTTTTGTAAGCATCAAGGTTACAGTATAATTAGGAACCAGCTGCAATTGTAATTACCACGCCCAATATAATTTGTTACATATTAGCAAGTGTCAAATTACTACTGCTCCTTAAATGAATAAAAACTGATTGTGCTATTCTGAAGACTGGGGCTATGTTCCTGATGGGGAACAAAGGAATATAAAAAGTATATGACGTATTTATAAAGTGCTGAAAAGCTCTACTTAGGAGATCACAAGTTGCTGAAGCCCAGATAATGCCATAAAAAGTTAAACACTTCTGAGAGAGAAAAGCTAATTTAATAAATACAGAGGAAGAGGAAGCCAAAAATGAAAGGACAATAAAGAAGTTGCTTCCATTAAATATGCCTTACCTGTCCAAATTCCTGCTATCAACCTCATCTAACTGAAGCACGTCAAGAACCAGAAGGAAGCAAAAAGGAAAAGGAAAGGGGCTCTCTGCACAGCTGGAGGCTCATCTCAAAGACGACACACCATCTCACTTGAGTGAGCCCTCCTGGGCCCTATTCCACAGCCCACAGCTTTTGACATGACTCTAATGCTTTGCAAACATTAGCTTACTGACACTCTCAACAGCCCTGAGGAGTAGACACCGTTATGTCCATTTTACAGATGAGGAAACTGAGGCACAGAGAGGTTGAGTAACTTCCCCAAGTCACACAGTTAGCAAGTGGCAGAGCCCTAATTTGATTGCAAATCTATGATTTCAGCCATTATGTGACACTGTCCTTCAGAGGAAAAGAAAGCACAGTATTGAGCAGGCAAGAGAATCCAGAGATCAAAAGAAAATTAGGACACAAGAGTCTGATTTCTGAGCATCCCCCAGTCTGACCTTCAGGGCAAGGGCAGGGAGCTTCCCATTTCAGATACACCTGTGGTTATGACAGCCCAGTGCTTCTGGCCCTCCTTGCTGTTCCCGGTTCTCCTCCCTTCTCCCAACCTTCTTACTGGTGTAAGAATAGAGAGCCTTGGGCCTGTGTGGCCAGACTTCTGACCTCTTGGGCAACTGCAGGATGGAGACTGCTTGCCTTTTGAGCCTCAGCTCTCTTCCTCTTGTTCTCCTACGATGGGAGTACAGCAGCCAAACGGTAGAGAGCCTTGGGCCTATGTGGCCAGACTTCTGACCTCTTGGGCAACTGCAGGATGGAGACTGATTGCCTTTTGAGCCTCAGCTCTCTTCCTCTTCTTCTCCTAGGATGGGAGTACAGCAGCCAAACGGTGAGCTTAGTCCCATCCACTTCCATCTTCTCTTTTGTGCCCTTCATCCCTCTGCATTTTGTTCTTTTTGCCCTCTGATACCTCCTAGTGCCCTATCATCTCTACCCCCAGGGACTCAGGAGATCATGCAGCAGAAGCAGAAAAAGGCAAACGAGAAGAAGGAGGAACCCAAGTAGCTTTGTGGCTTCACTCCAATCTCTCTTGCCCTTCACTTGTGTGCCTGGAGCCAGTCCCACCACACTCGCATTTCCTCCTGTAGTGACCACAGGTCCCAGCACCGATGGCTTCCCTTTGCCATGAGTCTGCGGTGGGTCCCTTTTGTACTTCCTTCCCCTCAGGTAGCCTCTCTCCCTATGGGCCACTCCTGGGGTGAGGGGGTTAGCCCTTCCCAGTGTTTTTTATTCCTGTGGGGCTTAAAAGTATAAAGGTAGCTTTGTAATTTAAAAAAAAAAATAAAGAAAATTAAGACACATCAGTTGTAATGCATGAACCTTATATACATCACAATTCAACAACTATTTAAAAAATTTTAAGACAATACGGGAAATGTGTACAATGTGTACAGAACACCTATTTGAAGATATTGAAGAATTATTATAATTTTTTAAAGTATAATAATGATATTGTGATTGTGCTTTGAAGAAATCTTGTTTAGAGATACATAAAATATTTACAGATAGGATGGCTGAGTTTGCTTTGAAAAACATATGGGGATGAATTAGCCAGGCATGGTGGCATGTGCCTGTAGTCCCAACTACTCAGGAGGCTGAGGTGGGAGGACTGTTGGTTGAGACCGCAGTGAGCCATAATCGCGCCACTGCACGCCAGCCTGGGTGACAGAGCAACATCCTGTCTCCAAAAACAAAAATTTAATTAAAAAAAAAAAAGTAGGGATGGAAGGAGGAAAGAGGGCATGGCATAAATGAAACAATATTGAGGACATAAATTGATGATTACTACTGGCTAGATAGGGAGATGAGGGTTAATTATACTATTCCAGTTTTGCACTTTTTGGGAAATTTCCATAATGAGAAGTTTAAAAAATGATGCTGTTCTTTCAAGGACTAAGTCAAATGCCTCTTCCTCCAGGATTCTCCAACCAGATTCCCCTCATAGAATGTTTCCTATTTCATGAGCTTTGCAATGGAACATTTAAATCTGACTCCACTGCGGCCGGGCGCAGTGGCTCACGCCTGTAATCCCAGCACTTTGGGAGGCTGAGGTGGGTGGATCACCTGAGGTCAGGAGTTCAAGACCAGCCTGACCACCACGGAGAAACTCAGTCTCTACTAAAAATACAAAAATTTAGCCGGGCACGGTGGCACATGCCTGTAATCCCGGCTATTCGGGAGGCTGAGGTAGGAGAATCACTTGAACCAGGGTTCAAGAGGTTGCAGTGAGCCAAGATCGTGCCACTGCACTCTAGCCTGGGCAACAAGAGCGAAACTCCATCTCCAAAAAAAAAAAAAAAAAAAATCTGACTCCACTGTTAACCAGCAGCATGACCTCTTGTTTTCTCATCTGCTAAAAGTAAGAGAATAGAGAATAACAATTGAATGAAAACAGCACAACTTGAGACAATCTAGCAGCGCCTTGCTTCCCAGTTACTCTTCATATTCAGAGCAGCCTAGCTGATTGAGGCAGCAGCAGATACCTGACCCCTGTGGGGAGGTGATCTTGGCTTTCTGAACTAATCAGATTTCCTCTGAAGGCTGAACCAGCAGATTCAGGCTGAATTAGCAGCAGGTCTCTCTAGCTGATGATGTGGCACTAGTGAAGGGTCACGAACTCCTGGGGTTGAGCAACAAAAATTAAACTGGCTCCCTACCTTTCATCTTATACCAAAAGAACTACAGCTGGATCAGAGTTAATCTTTAAAAGGAGAGAGAGAGAATTTCAAAAAGTACTAGAAAAACGCACAGGTGGTTTCTTATGTAATGTTAAGTAGGGAAGCTGATTTCAAACATGACAAACTCAGAAGCCATATAATCCAGAAGCCATAAAGAAAAAAATGATAAATATTTGACATAACAATTTAAAAAGTGAATATAAATCAGTTAAACAACAACTGAGAAGAAAAACAACAACAAAATTTGCAATAGATAGGACAAAGGGGCAATGTTCTTCATTTACAAGCGCTCTTAGAACAAATCAATGTGAAAAGGCAAATAAACCAATAGAAAATTGGGCAAAGGTCAAGACCAGGCTCTTCTCAAGTTGCTGTTGGACACCACAAATGGATTAACTGAAATCTTCATGAACCACCATAAAAAAAGAATCTAGGACTGAGCTTTCACTTCTGGAACTGAGCTGGGAGGCAATGAAAAGATGTTGGCATCCTCAAACTCAGAATCAACATCAGCCTGCAATAAAATGAGTGTGTGAATTCTCAGAAGTGAATGAAACTCCTTGCCAGTGAGCACAACAAAGTCAAAGAAGAGACAGGATATCACCCTCTTGTCCTTCAAGCCATCTGATGACCCAGGGTACTACTGAGACTAGCAGGGCTGAAACAGCAGCAATGGAACACATTGTTTGGACCTGCTGGGAATTTTGCCCTCTAATGTACCTGGGCTTTTTTAATCACAAGGGAGAGTTTCTCTAGGTGCCTCCTTTTGAAGCAGCCTTTCTGTAGTCATAGAGATTCATCTACCTTGGGACAGCACAACCCCTGCCAAGGTCTGTTCTGAATTTCTGATTCTCCATGATGTGCTCACCTGGCGATTACCCATGCACAACTCCTCAAGTATTTCCAAATTCTCATCATATTACTTTGTTGGGGGATGGAGAGGATTGAGCAAATGGATTATTAGAAAAAGGTTTACAACAAACCACATACATGCAGCAGAAAATCTCCTTCCCCCTTTACTTTGCCATGTGTTGGCATGCCAAGTAAATGGACAATTCAACCAGCAGTGTCTGAATGCTATGCAACAGTTACTCTGAGGCATATCTGTGTCCAGAGAAGGTCCTTGTCCTCAAGAGTTCAAAATCTAGGAGGAAACAAAATAAATCAGCAGCAAAGATCACTTCCCTTCAGAACCTTGACATCATTATCTCACCCAAGCCATTTTTAAATGATTCAATAACTGTTATGGGCTGAACTGTGTCCCCCACACCTAATTCATATGTTGAAGTTCCAATCCCAGCCCCTCGGAAGATGACTGGCCATATATGAAGATAGGGTCTTTGAAAAGGTTATTAAGTTAAAATGAGATGATGAAGGGGACCCTAATCCAATAAGACTGGTGTCCTTATACGAAGAGGAAATTAGGATACAGACAGAGAAGGAACCACATGAAGACACCCATCTACAAGCCAAGGAGAGAAGGCCTCAGGAGAAACCAAACTTGCTGGGGTCTCCATCTCAGACTTTTAACTTCCAGAACTGTGAAAAAATAAATTTCTGCTGTTTAAGCCATCCAGTCTCTAGTACTTTGTTATGGCAGCCCTAGCAAACTAATACAATATCTTTTAATATGGTCCCCATATTCCAGCTGTTTCGATTCTTTTCTTTATTTGTTTTTAACCCAGGCTCAAGCATTGTATTTGGTCATCAGGTCTCTTTGGGAGTTTCCTTTATTCCAGCCTTCTTCATTCATAACACTGACATTTTTGAAGTCAAGCCAGAGGTCTTGCAGCATGTCCTACTTTCTGGATTTGTCTGATTGTTTCCTCACGATTAGATCCAGATTAAATATTTTTGGCAAGAACATTTTTAGGTTCATGTTGTATACTTCCCAATGCATAATATCAGTCGGTAACATAATGCTAGTTTATCCCATTTGCTGATGATCACTTGGTTGAAGCAGATTTCTCCATTGTAAAGGTACTTTTTCCCCTCTGTAAACAGCAAGTAATTTACTAGGAGATGCATTCAGACAATGGGAATTCCAACAGTCTTTTACTGAAAGGCTTCAGCATCCAATGATGATCCATGCCTGAATCAATTATTACTTGCAGGTGGCAAAGTCAATTTTTTTTCCTTTTTCTAATTCTAGCATAGCTTCTACCTTTATTAGCTAGCATTCTTCAGTAAAGAAACTTTATCAGTCTATTCTCCAACTCACTTTGGCTCCTTTTAGGGAGCAATAATTATCACTCATTATGTTGTGTTGGATTTTTTTAATTCCATGTGTTACAATCCCTTTCCAATTGATTTGTCTTCATTGTGGTAAAATATACATACCATAAAGTTTACCATTGTAACCATTTTTAAGTATACAATTCAGTGGCATTAAGTACATTCACAATGTTCTACATCACCATTACCCATTTCATCATCCCAAACATAAACTCTAAACCCATTAATATCCAATTGAATTTTAATTGCCATTATTTTTTATAACAATGATATATACTCATATATAGACATACATACATACATAATATGCATACATACACACAAGAGTGTGTATTTAAATAATGAAAATCACTTTTAACTCAATGTACCAGGAAGGGCAAATGTTAATATTTAAAGTTAGCTAATTAAAACCATTATGCAAAAAGCTGGTGGACTTAAGATAACAACATCTGAAACCACTGACCAAAACGTAACATCACAAGAAACAACCAAGAATTAGGTGCTTCCTCATGTGAGTACCCAGTACCAAGTACCCAGCAATGTGATGGGAAGCTCTAAGCACCATCTAGGAAGTATTCTAGCCAAAACCAAAAAAGACTCTAACTTGATCAAGCTTTTAGATTAAACTGTCACTTGCAGGAAATACTGAGGCCAAGCAACACCACAAAGACGTAATCAGCAAAGTCCAAATTGTGGGAAATTACAGGAAAGACGACCCAATTCCCTCATCAAATAAACTGCAAGGAAACAACCAAAAAGGGGGCAGGAAAACCTATAGATTAACAAGATTTAAAAGACGTATCAACCAGCCATGTGTGGACTATATCTGAATATTGATTAGAACAAACCAACTATAAAAACTGTAATCTTAGGACATGGGTTTTAGCATTCCTACAGGGACTTCAAGAAATGGGAAAATAGAACCACAACCCCTTCTGAAAACTGAAGAGAAGAACTCAGACAAATATATATATATCTGCCCACCAATACAGAGAAATGAAAAGAAGTATTTCTTTCTGACAAAGGCTAAAAAAAAAGAAACATTTCTGTCTCTGACTGACCTCTATGTTAAACAAACAAATAAACAGGCTCTCTTTTATCCTGCTACCCTGTTGCCATAGCTTTATGGCAAGAAATATGAACAGAGGTTGTTATGTCCCGTTCACAAACTGCTGTGAAGAATATGAAAATCGAATGAGTCTGGGGTAATACTGGGAAAGTACTAAATTAAAAGTATTGAAAATGCAGCCAAGACCAAGGAGATTTTAGCTGGCTAAAGAGTTTAAATTTTATTCTGCAGGCAACAGAAGCCACACTGCATAGCAAGATAAATTAAAGAGGGCAATGCAGCACACTGGTTATGTGCTTGGGCTCTGGAGCCAGGCTGCCTGTGTTGAAATCATAGCTCTCCTATTTACAAGCCATGTGATCTTGGGCAAGTTATGTAATCTCTCTGTACCTCAAAGAACTTAACTACTCTGTACAAATGAGTTTCTCGATGTATATTATGAAGGTGAGAGCACTTACATGTCATAGGATTGTTATGAAGATTGCATTAGTAGATATAAAGTGCTTGGAACAGTGTCCGGCTTTTACAAGTGTTATATAAACATATGCTAATATTATTATTATTATTTGCATAACCTTTTTGAGCCTTAGGTTTCTTTATCTGACAAATGAGGTTATCAACACGTTCCCTGCTACCTTGTAGATGATTATAAAGATCAAATAATGAAGCTTGGGTCTTTATATTATCTGGTTATATTAATCCCTGAAGACTTTGAGCTTCTTGAAAACAAATCTAGTAGCTTACCTGTTTTTGGAATCCCAGCACAGTGTAGGCACTGACAAACAGTCGTCGTCACTTATGCCCTTGAATGCACTTTTTAAAGCTGCTAAGTACTGTACCCATGAACACGGTAGTGCTATTATCATGGCAACAAGAGCCAATCTTAGAAAAGTCCTTTGGCAGTCTGGACAGAATGGAGAGGAAGGTGTAGGGATGAGATCAAAAGCAAGGGGATCAGTGGGAGCTACAGCAATGGTACAGCTACAAAATAAAGAGGCCCTGAATTTGAACAGAGAAGATAGGACATACATGCTCCATGGCCGTAGAAGGGTTTCACTGATCCACCTCTTTTGCCACATCCAATTCAGGCTGATGGTGTCTCTCCTATCTGCCCATAACAGGTACTTAATTGAACTAACTAGAAACTTTATCAGGAAAGTGAAGCTGCAGGATGAAGTCAGGAATGACCAAAAAGATGGATTCAGTTATAAGAACTGGTGAGTTCTAGGTCAGCAGAGTTTGAAATATCTTTGAGACAGACAAGTTGAGTCTTCCAGCTCAAACTAAACAGCTAAAAGTGCAGGGCTAGAGCTTGAGACAGCCACCCAGGCTGAGGAGTGTTAAGGAGCCAATACCCATTAAGGGGGCAGGTAGTGCGGCAGGAACTGGAGGGAGGAGACAATCTCAGGCACAGCCTTGGGGGACACTAACCTTCCAGGTGTCCAGGCAGAATGAAGAGAAGCCCACAAGGCACAGCACTATTCACAGTAGCAAAGACAGGAAACCAACCTAGGTGCCCATCAATGGTGAATTGCATAAAGAAAATGTGGTATATATCCACCGTGGAATACCTTGCAGATATAAAAAGAACAAAATCATGTCCTTTGCAACAACATGGATGCAGCTGGAGGCTATGATCCTAAGTGAATTAATGCAGGAACAGAAAACCAAATATCACATGTTCTCACTTATAAGTGGGAGCTAAACAATGGGTACTCATGGACATAAAGATGGCAACAATAGACACTGGGGACTACTAGAGGGAGGAGGGAGGGGAACAAGGGTTGAAAAACTAATTATTGGGTACTATGCTCAGTACCTGGGTGATGGGGTCAACTGTACCCCAAGCCTCAGCATCATGCAATATATCCAGGTAACAAATCTGTACATGTACCTCCGGAATCTAAAATAAAAGTTGAAATTATTTTTTAAAATGTACATTTAAAAAAAAAGAAAGTAAGACCCTTTGTTAGATTCAGAAAAAGTGAAAGATTTCTAGATTTTTGCTAAAGTAATGCTTCTCAAAAGGTGCAGCATTAGTGCTGGACCTACATATACCTGACCTGTACAGGGAAGGGAAAAACACTACATTTTTGGCCAAAATTCCTCATTGGTAAACTAGTACATTCTGTTTTGAAGATTAGGGTAAAGTGTACTATCATTCTATATGCATATGTCATGCTGCTAAACACTAAAATAAAAATATATCTTTGCTGGGAAGAAAGAAGACGAAAGAAGAAAGAAGAAGGAAGGAGAAGGAGGAGGAAGAAGGAGGAAGGAAGGAGGAGAAAGGATGAAGGACGAAGAAGAAGGAAGAAGAAGAAGAAGCCTGCAAAGGAGAATAAAGGGGTAATATGAGATGCTAGAGGCCAATAATGAGAGGGGACATCATGAAAGCAGATGGCGAGAAAGAAAGGGTAGGACACAGGGTCATGTGAGGCCAGAAATGAGGACAAGCCAACAGGTTTAGAACTGAGGTTACTGGTGACTTTTAGGAGAAGGACATTTAATTTAGTTCATTTCACCCAATTAGAGGGTCTGTCTGGTTAAACAGGCCATGAAAATAGAGTTTGCTCAGTAGCTGTTAAATACTTTGCTAAAGGAATTGTATCACTACACAAAGGCATATCCCCCTCCTTACCTCCAAGCAGAACCAACACATGTCTCAGCGTCACACATTCCTCTGTTGCAAGGTCCACCCTAAGGCAAACCCACAGAGTCTTATGAGGAAATCTGTAGGTGTTTATGAGGCAGCAAATGCCAACCAGAGAGGAGGAAGCGCTCAGCAGGAATGCCATAATAGATAATCCTCACACATAGTGGAGAACAAAGGGAGGAATGGTTCCCTCTAAGAATTCATCAAAAGCAGAGACTGGTCATGGGACTAAAGGTCTAAGAGACCAAAGCACAGAGGAGTCAGAGCTCCTCGGACAATCTTCTAAAAGAACTCAATATCCAAAAAAGACCTGCTCCCTGACTTTTTTACGCTACATATCACCTTTCAACTCTCCCCACACCTTTCCAACCCTCTATTTGCTGTGAAGCCATATGACCTAAGCCAGGGAACACTGGCACCACATGGCCCTGGATGAGGTTAGCCCAGGAGAGGGCTCTGAGACCAGGTTTGCTCTTTGTAATGCTTCCCTCCTCCAGCACCTTCTCTGATCACAAAAAACCACTGAGACTCTGCAGGAGACAAATGGAGCTTTCAGTCAAGTTTGGGATTAAAACCTCTATTCCAGGATTATCACAAAACTGTATAAACTTGATGCCTAAGCACCCTGGAGACACCAGGCAGGACTAAGACAAAGCTGTCAAGAAAGAAGAGAAATTTGGAGAAACCCCTACATACCCCTCCTTTGAACTGACACACCAGGGACTTTAACTTAATCTCACTGCATTCCATTCTTACTCCAAGAAGGAGCCAGCAGGTCTCTTGAAGCAATGTGCACCAAAATAACAGTGGTTGTCAAGCTTTCAAAAATCCTGAGGCTCAGGCCACACCCAAGTCCAATTCAATCATGATCTCTGGAGGGAGACCCAGGCATCAGCAGTTTTTTATACCAGTCCAGAAGACTTCAGTATGTAGGGAATCACTGGCCTAGAGCAGTGCCAAAAGCAAAGGCATTCATGGGAATTTGGACCAATAACAAATGTTTCTGGGACTCCATTTCTAGGACTCTCCTGGTAAAAGGGGACAGGACTGAGGAAGGAAAGAGTAAAGATCATTGTGTTAACATAAATTCCAAGGCCATCCAGCTCCAACAAGATAAGAACCCCTAAAACCCAAACAGTGGAGCCATAGATATTTGTTTTAATAATCATCATCATGGTAGCATAAAAACAACTCAAACCTTCTTTCCTCCATTCCTAGCACAAAAACTGATTTGTTTTATTATGATATCACCAAATACTTAGTAGAGTTTTTACATAGGGGAGAAAAAACCCTGCCATTTGAAGAATATCTTTAATAACCTCAATATATTTTATCCTCAATGACAAACCTCTGAAGAGGGTTTTATGATGGGTGAACAATGTGGAAGACATGGAGGTTAAATATACAGCCCAAAGCCTGGGCGACATAGCAAGACCCCCGTCTCTACAAAAAAAAAAAAAATTTTAATTAGCTGGGTGTGGTGGTGTGTGCCTGAGGTCCTAGCTATTCAGGAGGCTGCGGTGGGAGGATCTCTTGTATCCACGAGGTCTAGGCTAGAGTGAGCAATAATCACACCACTGCACTTCCACCTGGGTGAGAGAGTGAGACCCTGTCCCAAATATATATATATATATTATAGTCCAAATCCTAATGGAAACTGGATTAAAGGTATATGACAGTGGTGACAGTTACACAACTCTGTGCATATATTGAAAACCAATAAATCATATGCTTTAAATGGGTAAATTGTATAGTACTTGAATTATATCTCAATAAAGCAATTAAATAAAAGGTATATGACAATTCCTGTCCTGCAGGGATTTGCGATCTGGTTGGAGAGATGAGAAATACACTTAATAAACACTGAAATGAAGCATATACAGAGTGACAAAGGTGTTCTAAGATAAGAACTACTGGACTGGGATGATCAGGAAATATACACATCCATACCCGATGGCATGTGAACTCTCACACATACACCTTCGCAAATGGAACTCTTGGTAAGACCTGGGAGAGCAGCGCAGAGGTTAAGAGCAGAGACTCTGAAGACACATTGGCAAGGTTCAAATCAAGACTGTAGCACTTACCTGTTGCACAAGCGTGAGAAATTACTTAACCTCCCCTAACTCAGTTTTCTCACCTGTAAGTTGAAGTCAAAAACAGAAAGCACCTACTTCTTAGAATTAAGAAAATTAATTGAGTTACTATTTGTAAGGCTCTTGGAAAAGTACCTGGCATGCAAAAAGCACTAGGTAAGGCAGTTCTCAAATAAAAGTCTGGTTTACACTGAGACACCTACCCCTCTCCTAAGTCATCTCCCACACCTCTCCCATATACTTTATTCTCCACCACACTAAACTACCAGGCACACATGGTGGACAGAGTGAGGCCACAGCTGCTGGAGCCAGACTGGCAGGATTTGAACCCCAGCTCGATAATTTCCTAATTATCCGATCTTTTTTATTTTATTTTATTTTTTTGAGACAGAGTCTTGCTCTGTCACCCAGGCTGGAGTGCAATGGCACGACGTCAGCTCACTGCAACCTCCGCCTCCCAGGTTGAAGCAAATTCCCCTACCTCAGCCTCCCGAGCAGCTGAGATTACAAGAATGCACCACTATGCCCGGCTAATTGTTTCCTATTTTTAGTAGAGATGGGCCAGACTGGCCAGGCTGGTCTCAAATTCCTGACCTGAGGTGATTCACCTGCCTCGGCCTCCCAAGGTGCTGGGATTATAGGTGTGAGCCACCGTACCCAGCCATACTTATCAGATCTTAGGCCACTAACATCACCTCTTGGTATCTCAGAGCCTTCATCTATAAAAAAAGGATGATAGTAACTAACTCAAAAGGCTGAGGCATTAAATGAATCAACAACGAAACACAGTTGGAACTGAATTTTAAATGAATCAACAATGAAACACATTTGGAACTGAATTTGGTATCTAGTAAGCGCTCAGTAAGTGTCAGCTGCTTTTAGTTTTTATTACCTGCTGTTAACTAAATGTAGCCTGTGCTCTCACCTCCCAGCCCTTCATTTGTTTCCAACCACTGGATTGGATCTTTACTCTTCCCCATCCATTCCTTCTGAAATACTAGCAATTTTCAGAAGACTTCCCTCATCTCCTCAGAAATGGGCTCTTCTCCTACTGCTCCCACAAACCTTGTAGTGGGAGCATTTCCATCAGAGAACTTAGCCCCCTGGAATGGTTTTGGTTTTCTTGAACATCAAAATGGAGTCCAATTCATTTTATTTATTTTATTCTATTTTATTTTATTTTATTATTTTATTTTACTTTATTTTATTTTTTTTTGAGACAGGATCTCGTTCTGTAACCCAAGCTGGAGTACAGTGGTGCTATCTCAGCTCACTGCAACCTCTGCCTTCTGGGCTCAAGTGATCCTCCTGCCTTAGCCTCCCAAGTAGCCGGGACCACAGATGCGTGCCACCATGCCCAGCTAACAATTCATTTTAGTATTCTCAATTTTGTCCCATTTGCAACACTGGAAAGAACACAATACACATAAATGAATCAATGATCACAGCAACAACTCATCCAAGAATGAAAAGTCAATACAAAGTGTACTAGTCCTACAGACCAAATTGTCTTTATTATTAATGCTTTAATGTGCCCCCAAATTTCCTTCTTTTGGTTCTAGGCTAATATTGGTCTGTGTTCAGTTTTACCCCAGAACATCTCACAGGTCTGAACTCAAGGGAGCATATTCTAACTTTTAGTAGGTTCATATAGGTTAATTACATCATTCGTAACGCATAAATTTAACCAATGACGAAGAAGAAAGCTCTCCTTTAACCAAGAAAAGGGCAGAGACGAAGAAAAGGGTGACCTCTCAATTACCACCTTTTAAAACTGTTTTTTTATGGCAGTTTTGGGAAATGTTTAAAAGAAATATTCAAACAACGCAAACAGTACAGGCAGATCTAACAAGGGAACCCACAAGGATTATTCCTACAAACGTAGGCAGCAAGAGAATGGACACTTTTTGAGATAATCTCAGAATACTAAGAGTTTTAGATTAATGTTCATTCACGAAAGAAAACAAACACTTCTTGAACCATTAACTAGTAATCTTCATAGCAAAATTCAAAATAAAAAGCAGCCAAAGACTAGATTCTCCATCTCCCCATTAAAACTATTTAAAGGAAGGTCATGAATAATTAGCTGTATTTAAATAAGTATAAAGACCAAAGAAAGAAACAGATCAGAAAACTAATTGCTAGTTGTGGCTACATCTATCCAGAAAATACCAAATCTGCTTAAATATTCAAACAATTTGTCACAGTGAGTGTAGTGAGTGTTGGAATTCTCACAGTTGCTGAGTCCCCAGAGTCTCAGCCCAATTTCCTAACAGTCCATTGAGGTGAAGTCCTCTCCTATCCAGGCTCCTCAACTTTTAAGAGGGAATGCCAACCCTACCCCTATGGCTCTGTGTTCAGCTGGCAACATGGAATAGCTATGCTCCAGGGAAAAAGCAAGGAGCACAGCCTTTAACTCAGGCTGCCAACAGAATCAACCGATAAAGGTGATGCCCAAAGGCAGTTCAATAAGGGACATTCTTGGAATAAGTTAGACCAGCAGCTTCATTGAGGGACCTTTTAAGGCCACATTTACTGCACTGCCATTGAGTTATAATGAAGGACATGATAAGAAATGGCCTTATGTAACCCACAGACATATATCTGTGGTCACAAGGTAGATTCAAATGCCGTTCACTCACAGCATATAAAAGAAACTGCTCGGCTGGGCGTGGTGGCTCATGCCTGTAATCCCTGCATTTTGGGAGGTTAAGGCAGGCAGATCACGAGGTCAAGAGATCCAAGACCAGCCTGGCCAACATGATGTTGGCCTACTAAAAATACAAAAATTAGCTGGGTGTGGTGGCACGTGCCTGTAGTCCCAGATACTTGGGAGGCTGAGGCAGGAGAATCACTTGAACCCAGAAGGCAGAGGTTACAGTGAGGCAAGATCATGCCACTGCACTCCAGCCTGGCAACAGAGCAAGACTCCATCTCAAAAAAAAAAAAAAAAAAAAAACTGCTCTCAGAGAGCAGTATAAGGAGACTTCTCTCCCAAGTAAATGACCTCACTGATCATTTCCTCTTTGCTTTGGCTGGGAGAAAATGCAATCACCTCTAGTAAGCACATAATGTTCCACTAACCTTAGTCCTGGCTTTGTCTTACTTTCCCTTTGTCCTGTTTTTCCCATCTACTTGGAATTGATTTTTATATATCTTATTGGATTGCAAAATAAGTATATATGATGTGAGCCATCAGATATCACAGAAAGAGGTGAGTGCAAATGAAGACATAAACAAAAACACAAGCTCCCAAGTAGTAAAAATGAACATTTCATTTTCCCTGACTCAATACTTAGCTAAAAATCAACTGCCCTTGATATGTGACACTTCTACTATTATGTAGAAGTACAACCAAAGAGTTGAACTAACTTCCATATCACTTATTTTATGTTTTGTCGTTGTTGTTATTTGTTTTTGAGACAGGGTCTTGCTCTGTTGCCCAGACTGGAGTGCAATGGCACAATCTCGGCTCACTGCAATCTCCGCCTCCTGAGTTTAAGCGATTCTTCTGCCTCAGCATCCTGAGTAGCTGGGATTACAGGTGCCCACCAGCACGCCTAGCTAACTTTTTTGTATTTTTAGTAGAGACAGGGTTTTGCCACGTTGGCCAGGCTGGTCTCGAACTCCTGGCCTCAACTGACCCGCCCGCCCCAGCCTCCCAAAGTGCTGGGATTACAGGCATGAGCCACAGCACCAGGTCACTTATTTTACTTAATATTACTCAAGTCTTATACTCCATTTCTATGCACACGTCTCAATTTATGTTCCTCAATTACCTTATCTCCTAATAAAGTAAAAGTATTTACATTACCTGCAGATATAAAACTAACAGTAAAGAATGGGTACCTAGTCCCACCTACTCTAGGGAATTAGTTCATACCAAGCCTTGTACCTTGGTTGCATGCAAATTTAATGCAAAAAAAAGGTCAAGGGCTATTGGGCTTGAAAGGGTTAAGGCAGCTTCCAAAATTGAATCCTAGTGATGCTCAGAGAAACTGCTGAAAAGTTATAGATAGATATACACACGCACACCTGTGTGTTCATATGCAAACATACATGAGCCCACACACCCAGAGTACTTTCCTAAGGATGAAACTCAGAGTAATTACAGAAAAGAGAAATGCCACTTAGACCACAGAAACTAACAACATGAAGAAGCCTACGGATTTGGGGAGCCTGGAGAGACTTAAGTCATAGAACAGCATTTAAATATATTTGTCTGCTTACAATTTCCATTGCAAATGTGATTAGTTTGCTTGAATAAATAGGAATATGATGTGTTGGCCATGTTTTCCTCTTGAGGGTTATCACAGAGTTTTGATTAAGGACAAATGTTTGAAATGTTAGGTATATTTAAGTTCACTGCACTTAAAATGAGCTAAGAAGTTGTATAGGCTTGATTAGAGGGCTGCCTTCGTGAACTTAAATTAAAAGCAATAAATTCCAAATGATTCAAGTGATTGGGACTAAATATGGTATTCTGCCAGAGAAGTTGAAATGCAGTCCAAAGAGACTGAAATGGTGTCCAGGTTTCAAGAAATGGTGAAAGAGGAAAGGTCAAGTGTTGGAGTTGCCTTTCCTCTGGGTTAGTGAATGATTCACATTACACAGAACCCCTTTCAAGTACAACTTCACAGGAGTGACAGGCTCCCAGGACAATCTGTTTCATCGTTCCCAAAAAGAAGCCTCTCAAATGCTCCGAGGCGGGTATCTAAGTGTTGTCAGATGGAGAGAGGGAGGGGGAAGATGGGAATGATGGGAAAGCGGGGAGGGGGAGAGTCCCTGGACTTTTTATTCACAAAGGCGCAGACCAAGTCTCCTAGGCAGTTTCCAAAACGGAAGTCAAAGTAACTTCCCCACCCGCGGGAGGGCGGAGCCCTTGAAACGTAATAGGATCAGGCTTCAGCCCGGGCTCTGGCCCCTGGAAGAAGCCGGAGTCAACAACCAGCGGGGTCAGGAGCAGGAGCGCGCTGGGAAGGTAGAGAGGACCCCCAGCGCTTGCCGGCCCAGGGTGCACCAGGCCCCAGTCGCGCCCGCTCCTCCTCGTCGGCCCTGGCTCAGCCCCGTCAGGCACCAACTTCCCTCCCCGGCCAAGTGGGAGTGTCCGGCCCACAAAGTTTCCGCTGCGAGGTCGGGCCTCGGTCTCTGCACCGACCGCCTGTGCTGCCCGGGAGGAGTGGCCCCCTCCCTCCAGCAGCCGCAAGGTGGAACGGCTGCCCGGCACCCCATTTTGCTCCGCCTGTGGCACCAACCCAGACACGTGAGCGCCCGAGCCTCTCGCACCCCCAGGCTGATCCGGCAGGCGCGCTCCCCCCGGCCTCGGGCCCGCGGTTACCTTGGCGGCCGCCATGATTCGCCCCGGTTGCGGGCGACTGCGGGACCCACTGACTGGCTGGCTGGCGTTTGGGACCCGGGCGGCTCACTTCTAGTCCCGGCGGCGGCGGCGGTGGGGGCGGCGATACGGCCAGGCAGCGTGCGTTCCTGGCCTGCCTCCCCACGCCCTCCCGCCGGCGCGGGTCATGTGGATGCTGCCCGCCCATTGGCTGGGCCCAGCCTTGGCCGCCGGGGTGCGCGTGATCCAGCGGCCTCTGCCCTGCAGCCGGGGAGGGCTCAGATCCTGGGGCAGTGGCTGGACAGGGACACGTGACCCCGCTGCGCTGTCCAGCAGCGGCGGCCTCTGCGGCGTGGGCAGAGGTAACTTGGCCGTGTGCAAGCCCGTCACCTGAGGGCAGGTGGCCCCACCAGGGAAGCTGCTGGCTTCTGCTGATACCAGGGGCTACTGGGCCCTCGGACCGATGGGAGGGGCAAGTAACGACAGATGGTGCACGGCCTGGGGAAGTTGAGAACTCCACTAGGACACATACTTTGCTGGATATTTTTTCCCCTGTGCGTTCCCTTTGAAGGAGCTCCACTTTACACTGGATCCAAAAAGACTTTGATCCAAAAGCATTGACTTAGAAGGCGAGATTGCAAATATTGCTGGCACGCCTACTTTTAGATCAAAATCGGTGAACTCTTAAGAACCCAACAAGTGAATGTAGTGCAGAACGTATATTCATGAAACTACTCCATTTCAGCCCTACCTGTTAAAACGGTAGAAGTCAAAAGGCCCGGGTCAAAAGACTTCCCCCAAATAGGCCCTACTAAAATAAATAAACAAGCATTTTAATGAAAATTTGCTTATATGACCTCCAGGCCTTACTCCTCTTCATCAGGATTTCATTCTTCTGTCCTTGTAATCAAAATTTATAAGACAGTGGTGATCAGGGAAAAGGACTTTTAATGTATTGTAGGTTGTGGATGTAATATGGCAGCAAAAAGCACTTATTACTAATCAGTTTAATTCATTAACGTTGATTGAGTGCCTTCCTACTATGTGCTAGGCACTGTGCTTGGTGCTGGAAACCCCGAAATGACTTAAGAACTGGTTCCAACCGTTAAACAGCTTCAGGGCTATTGGGAAAGAGACACATAAATGTTTACTTCAGTATAACCTGTTAAGGCAGCAGACTGTTCCCAGGGCTCAATAAGAATACTGAGAATTCTCATGCCACTATGAAGAAATACCTGAGACTGGGTAATTTATAAACCAAAAGATTTAATTGACTCAGTTTCGCATGGTTTGGGAGACCTCAGGAAACTTACAGTTGTGGTGGAAGGCACCTCTTTACAGGGTTGCAGGAGAGAGAATGAGTGCCAAGCAAAGGGGGGAAAGCCCCTTGTAAAACCATCAGATCTCATAAGAACTCACTATCACAAGAACAGCATGGGAGTAACCGCCCCCATGATTCCGTTGTCTCTCACCGGGTCCTTCCCATGACATGTGGGGATTATGGGAACTACAATTTAAGATGAGATTTGGGTAGTGACACGGTCAAACCATATCAAAAGGTAACTTGATCTTGAGCTATGGGATTGGGGCAGTGGCACGACTAGTGGAAGGAGTCTGGCCCAGCAGGTAGGGGCTGTGTCATGGTGGGTCTTAGGCGCCTTGCTGAAGGGTATGCACCTTAACTGAAGGGTTTTAAGTCAGGAAGCAGCATGACTAGGTTTTCGATATAGAAAGATCTCTCTATGGTCTGAATGTGCCCCCCAAAATTGATGTGTTGGATACAATCTCTAATGCATCAGTGTTGGAAGGTTGGGTCCTTGGGGAGGTATTTTCATCACAAGGGCTCTGCCCTCATAAATGGATTAATGCTGCCATAAAAAGAGGTTTGGGGAGTGGGTTCACTCTCTCTTGCTCTTCTGCTCTTTTGCCATATAAGAACATAGCATTCCTCACCTTTGAAGGACACAGCATTCAAAGAGCCATCTTGGAAGCAGAGAAACCAGGCCGTAACCTGCCAGCACTTTGATCTTGGACTTCCTAGCGTCTAGAACTGTGAGAAATACATTTCCGTCCTGTTCTTCTAGTCTCAGGAATTCCCTTACAGCAACACAAAATGGACTAAAACACTGCTTGCAGTATGGAGGATGGGTTCCAACTGAACTACCAGGATGTCCAGACGAGACAGGCTGGGGATGGGCTAGGACTAGAGGAATACATAGAAGGTAAAATTAGTGGGGTTGGGACGGAAAAAGGGAGTTGTGCCATATTGCACATAGACTTGTGGTATGGGTGTCTGGAAAAACACCTGAGATTGGTAATTCAAGAGGAGTGTTTTGAGGTGTGTGAGTCTGTCTGTAAGGAGAATGTATGTCCAACATACAAATTATGTTGTAGAAGCTTAAGAAAGAAGCATTACAGAAAGAAGCAACTATTTAACCTACTCTCAAAAGGTTCAACAAAGCCCAGAAGACTTGACCATGTTCATAGGCAGAGAAGAAAGATCAGCAAAAAGTAAAAAAAAAAAAAAGACAAAAGGAAAACCAGGAGAATTGTTAGAGAAAATTATGACAAGGGGACAAGTCTGAAGCTCCTGTGGAGGATGGCCCCAGCTGCCACAAGGGGAGTGTAAAAGGAGGTGAGAAAATACAACCTCATGTAAAGAACAAAATTACATCATGTACCACGTATTTATTTTTAAGGGCATCATTAAAGCTCTCCTTTTATAATGTAAATGAAACAAAAAATTTTTAATGTAATAAAATATACATAAAATGTACCATCTTGACCATTTTGAAATGTACAGTTTAGTAGTGAAATACTTTCACATTGTTGTGCAGCCAATCTCCAGAACTCTTTTCATCTTGCAAAGCTGAAACTCTGTACTCATTAAACAACCACTCCATCTCCCAACCCCCTGACAACCACCATTCTACTTTGCTCCTATAAATCTGACTACTCTAGGTACCTAATAAATGGAATCATATGGTATTTGTGTTTTGTAGCATAATGTCTTCAACCTTCATACATGTTATATAGCATGTGTCAGAATTTCCTTCCTCTTCAAGGTTGAACAATATTCCATTAATTTTTTTAATAGAAAAAGTCCATTATACTTCTTCTTGACATTTTTGAAAATTCAGAAAATCATAGTAATGGCCAAAAAATCACTGATAATCCTATCAATAGAGTTAGCCATTGTTAACATTCTACTGTATTTTTTCATGTCTTGCTGTGCTTATGTGTGTGTATCAAGACATATTTATTTTACTTTATTTTTTGTTTTTGTATTTCTTGAGACAGGGTCTCACCCTGTTGCCCAGGCTGGAGTGCAGTGGTGTGATCTCAGCTCATTGCAACCTCCTCCTCTTGGGCTCAAAGGATCCTCTCACCTCAGCCTCCCAAGTAGTTGGAACCACAGGCATGCACTGCCATACCCATCTAAATTTATATTTTTTGGTAGAGATGGGGTTTTGCCATGTTGCCCAGGCTGGTCTCAGACTCCTGGGCTCAAGCAATCCTCCTGCCTCAGCTTCCTAAAGTGCTGGGGCTACAGGCATGAGTCATTGCGCCTGGCCTATTTTGTTTATGTATTTATTTTTAAGACTGTTGCCCAGGTTGGAGTGCAGTAGCGTGATCTCAGCTCACTGCAGCCTTGATCTCTGGGGCTCAATTGATCCTCCCATTTCAGCCTCCCAAGTCGCTGGGACCACAGGCACACACCACCATGCCCAGCTAATTTTTGTATATTTTGGTAGAGATGGGGTTTTACCAGGTTGCCCAGCCTGGTCTTGAACTACTGGACTCAAGTGATCCACTCACCTTGGCCTCCCAAAGTGCCGAAATTATAGGCATGAACCACCCACCTGACCATATTTTTGCATTTAAAACGATGAATTATACTCTGTGTTAGTTTCCTGTGGCTGCCATAACAAATTACCACAAACTTGGTAGCTTAAAACAATAGAAATTTGTTCTCTTACCATTATGAAGGCCAGATGTCCGAAGTGAGTCTTGTGGGGCTAAAATCAAAGTGTCAGCAGGACTGTTCTCTCTCAGAGGCTTTACAGGAGAATGATGTTTCTTTGTCTTGTCTAAGGGCTCATGGCACCCTTCTTCACCTTCAGAGCCAATGGGCATAGCACCATATATCTGACTCTGCTTTTATCACATGACCTGTCTGTCTGTAACCTTCCTCTACCTCCTTTTTATAAGGACATGTGTGATTGCATTTAGAGCCCACCTAGATAATCCAAAGTACTCTCTCCATCTCCAGATACTTAATTTGATCACATCTGCCAAGTCTGTACTGCATAAAGTACCATTCAAAATCTCTAGGGATTAGGATCAGGACATGGACATATTTAGGGGGCCTATCATTCAGTTTACCAAACCTACCACACTATGGATACATATTGTAAAAGTATATTTCAATTTACATTTGGAGTCATACTTACTTGATTAAGCTCCCCTCCTCATTCTAGAATTCCTCAAAATATGAAATTTTAAAAATATTAAACTGTCATGAACCTAGAAATAAAGAAGTCAAAGATGCTCCCTGGGCTCCATTTCATCTGTAAATAACAGCATGATGTGAAACATCATCTAAGAAGATAAAGTGTGAACTGGCTAGGTATCTTTCATTTTTTCTTATCATTACAGGCTTACATGCCCTCCTGATATTTGTCCCTCTTCACTATTCCCAGATTACCCTCTTTCCTACCATTAACAGTAGCTGGCACTGAATTTTGACTGAAAAGGCCCTGTTATGGATTAAATTGTGTCATCCAAAAGTCTTAACTCCCCAGTACCTACGTATTAGTTTGTTCTCATGCTACTAATAAAGACATACCCAAGACTGGGTAATTTATAAAGGAAAGAGGTTTCATTGACTCACAGTTCAGCATGGCTGGAGAGGCCTTAGGAAACTTACAATCATGACAGAAGGGGAAGCAAACATGTCCTTCACGTGGCAGCAGAAAGGAGAAGTGCTGAGCAAAGGGGAAAAGCCCCTTATGAAACCATAAGATCTCATGAGAACTTACTCATTATCACTCATTATCATGAGAACAGCAGCCTGGGGGTAACCTCCCTCATGATTCGGTTACCTCCCACCAGGTCCCTACCACAACATGTGGGGATTATGGGAACTACAATTCACAATGAGATTTGGGTGGGGACATAGCCAAACAATACCAGCCTCCAATTGTGACCTTATTTGGAAATTAAAGTTGTAATTAGTTGATTTCATACAGAGTAGGGTGGGTCCTTAATCCAATATAAACTGGTGTTTTTGTAAGAAGACACAGAGATACTCTGGGAGAGTCCCATGTGTTAACAAAGGCAGAGATTAGAGGGATGCAGCTGCAAGCCAAGGAATGCCAGGAATCAACAACCCCCCCAGAAGTTAGCAGGAGGCAAGAAGGGATGCTACCCAGAGTCTCAGAGGGATCATGGCCCTGCTGACAACTCAGTTTGTGACTTCTATCCTCCAAAACTGTTAGAGAATAAATTTCTGTTGTGTGAGGGCACCCAGTTTGTGGTACTCTGTTAAAACTGCCCTGGGAAACCAGTACAGGCCCCAAAGCCACCTGTGTTTTATAGCACCATATGCCAACCTTGTCAGCTGGGAAAGCAGCCAACTCAAATCACGGGGAATGCTATATGCAAACAAGGCACACAGCTTAAGCATGAGCCCAAGCCATGGGAGTTCAGAAGAATGACTAACATGGCCTGCTCTGAGCTTTCACCTTTTCCAGAATACCTGCGCCTTGTAGATGCCCTTTGACCCTACTTTTAAGCTATCTTATTCTCTTCAACTTCATTTAAAACAAACAAGAAAACAAAGGCACCATTACTACTACCAGCGTGCTCCCCAGATTAGATTGCTGGAAAGGATATCCAGCAACAATGCTTGCCAAGCACATCGTTGACTGGAAATTTTAGACAACTAACTACGGATTGCAATAATGATTCCTTGTGTAGATTGCAGTTTGCAAAGGTAATGCCAGGGCTGGTAAAGGACATAGTGTGACAGAGCTAAAGAAGCACCATGTGAATAAGAAGCTCCCAAATTCTGACCTTACAATTGAGACTCTGCAACTGAAGGACACAGAGAGGCTGTCTGTTGCATTCATTTGGGTCTGGAATCCTGCCGAGTATCAGATCACACATGACAAGACTTCCCTAAGAATGGAGTAAAGGTAGATCAGAAATGAATATGACCTAGCTTCTTAGTAGATCCAAAGGAGAGAGCTGTGCCAACATTTTAGAGTTAAGAGGGAAGGAAGGGGAGGTAGGAAGTGAGTCAGGATGAGGAAACATAAGACACCTTGGGAAAGTGTAACTGAAAACAAATCTCCAAAGCTTTGAGATAAAATGCTCTGAGAGCAAATGCTTAAAACAGCTAGTTCCTGAGAGCAGAGCAGGGCTGTGTTGCTTTCTGGAGGCTCAAGGACAGAATCCCTTTCCCTCCCCTTTTCAGTTTCCAGAGTCTGTCTACATTCCTTAGTTCTTCACCCACTTTCTCCATCTTCAAAGCCAGCAGCAGAGTCTAGTTCTCATATCACATCACTCTCATCTCATTTTTTGCCTCCCTCTTCCACATCTAAGGATCCACGTGATTGCATTGGGCTCACCCTGATAATCCAGGATAGCCTCTCAATGTTAGGGTCAGTTGATTTGTGTATTAGTTTGCTAGAGCTGCCAAAATAAAATACCAGAGACCAGATGGCTTACACAACAAAAATTCACTGTCTCACATTTCTGGATGCTAGAGTCTGAGGTCAAGTGTCAGCAGGGTTGCTTCCCCCTGAGGCCTCTCTTCTGGGCTTGCAGATGGCCATCTTCTCCCTGTGTCTTCTCTCTGTGCATATCTGTGTCCTAGTCTTTGCATATAAGGACACCAGTCATATTGGATTAGGACCCATCTTAATGACCTCATTTTAACTTAATTACCTCTGTGAAAACTCTATCTCCAAATACAGTTACCTTTCAAAGTACTGAGGGGTTAGAACTTCAACATAGGAATTTTAGGAGGACAAAATTCAACCCATAACAATTAGCAACTTTAAATATATCTGCTATCTTAATTCTCTTTTGCCATGTAATATATTCATAGGTTCCAGAGATTGGGACGTGGACATATTTGGGAAGCTATTATTTTGCCTAACACACCTTGTCCTGAAAATGTTGCCAATGTCCATAGCAAACCTTAGAGAAGTATTAGTTCTTTGAGTAGAATATTTGGTTTAACCACAGTCCTATATGAGCTCAGTAAAGTAAAACTGACTCCTCAGGGGAATTACATCAAAAGTCTTTAAAGAGGTCAAACCCACTTTCTTTGGCCCAGAACCAGAATCCCCCTTGGTCTTGCATCAAGCCCAAGTCTGTGTTTACGAATCTGGCTAAGGTCCCTGGGCCCAGCAATACCACTCAAGGCAGTAACAAATCAAATTTAGGCCACCCTGGTTTCTCAGTGCACTCAGAGGCATATATCAGAAGTGGCAGGTGCTTCAGCAGCCCATCATGTGACCAAGAAGAAGGAGCAGCAGCCAGGGATGTACACAGTGGGCTCTTGGACCCTGGCCATCTCACAGCAAGGGACATTTCTTTTAAGTATAGCAGTTCCTTTTGTAAGAATTGCTGAAATTTTATCACAAGTCCTACAAAATTTTTAAGAAATTAAGTGTTAAGTAAAATAATCTTACCAAAACGGGTTTAAGGAAGGAGACCTGTGTTTTCATAAAAAACATTGTATTCAAATATTATTTCTATCTTTCGTATTCTCCTTTACACTTAATCATGATGTGAAAAGAAAGAGAAAGGGAGAGAGACAGATAAAAAGAGAGAGAGAGAGACTGGCTCTTATTATTTCCCCATCAATCTCTGTCTAAATAACCTAAGCTAGCATGGTGAATTAGAAATCAGACAGATTTTTATTTGAGGCCCACCTCTGCTATTTATGGCTATGCAACCTTTGGTCAGTTATTAACTTCTCTGAGCCTCAGTCTTCTGATTTGTTAAACAGAGATTTTAAAAAATCCATTTTGCAAAGTTGCTGTGATATTAAATGTACATAAATCATCTGATACATAGGAATCTATTAGAAATACCACTAATAATACTAGAATGAGAAGGTCAGAACTACTGTTCCTTAAGATGCCTTCCAGCTAACCTTCTAGTATTCTGCTACACAGATGAAGACCATTTACACCTAGGCTTGCTTTCCCAAGATCTTTCTAAAGCAGAAAGGGGAGGAGGGCAGAGAAAGGGAGGGAGATAGATCCATTTTAGAAGTGGAAAAATCTACTTTTGAAGCTGGAAATTTAAACTCGGATAAAGTAGAGAGCATGAAAGCACTTGAGTATTTAAGAACAAACTATTAGTGCTAGCTGTAGCTTTCCAATCTGAAGATACTGGGCCAAATTATTCATGTCTGAACTTGTTTGTCAGTTGGATACAATCACAACTGCAGCCTCAGGGTTGCTAGCCTTTGCAGCACATTCTTTTATTTCCTGCTGCTACTGCCTGAGTCCCTTAAGGACCCACTGCTAGAAATGGAGGTAGCACATCCAGTCTCCAATGACTCTTGCAGGTGGCAGAGCTAAGTCTTTTTAGGTTCCAATGCAACAAAGAAGATCTCGAAACAGCAAAATTTAAGATTGAAATGAAACTCACCATTATAACAAAAGAGACAGAGGGTGCTCGCTTTGGCAGCACATATACTAAAATTGGAATAATACTGAGAAGATTAGCATGGCCCCTGCCCAAGGATGATAGGCAATCCACAAAGCATTTCATATTTTTTATTAAAAATTAAACATAAAGAGACTGGCCAGGTGCGGGGGCTCATGCCTGTAATCTCAGCACTTTGGGAGGCCGAGGTGAGCGAATCACCTGAGGTCAGGAGTTTGAGACCACCCTGGCCAACATGGTAAAAGCCCGTCTCTACTAAAAATACAAAAATTAGCCGGGCATGGTGGTGCAGGCCTGTAGTCCCAGCTACTCGGGAGGCTGAGGCAGGAGAATCGCTTGAACCCAGGAGGCAGAGGTTGCAGTGAGCCGAGATCACGCCACTGCACTCCCGCCTGGGCAGCAGAGTGAGACTCCATCTCAAAAAAAAAGAGAAAGAGACAGAGGAAAGAAAATTCTAGCTGAATGTCCAGCTTCCTTCTGCAAGACTCCGCATAATGTGGCCCCAGCTGCCTCTCAGGCCCTCCTGTCCCTTACTTCTGTTCCTCCAGTTCCTCAGCAGGCCAATCCCTTCCTGGTCCCAGGGTTCTGCACTTGCCAGCCCCTCAGCCTGGAGCCCCATCAGCCTCTCTCTACATCATCTTTCTCATCCTTCAGGTCCTCAGGAATGCCTTCTCTGACCGCCCTTTCTAAAGCAGGAACCTCCTTGTCATTATCTCTGCATCCCATTTCTGACCTTTTTAGCACTTATCACAGTGAGTAATTACTTTTGGTTGGTTGTTTACTTAGCTTTGCTGTCAGGAGATGACATTGGAAAGCCTGATTGGAGCTAGGTGGGGAAGGTGAGTGGCCTGTACTTCTAGAGTAGGTCCTGTGACTTTCTATTGGTAAATGACGTGAGTCATTAACTGTCAACATTGTCAGAAGTGACTTGAGACTTGATGGAATGGACTGACCTGATTCTAATTCCAATCCAGTTCTGGCAGCTGTCTAACTGTGGGCAAATCATTTCTCCTCTCCAAAGCTCAGTTTCTTCACCAATGAAATGACTGCAGTTGATTTTGAATAGGCTTAGATAAATAACTAACATTCTATTTTCTTCTCCTGATTCACTTAGATAGCCAGCCAACTTCAGGCATGAGGTGGAATAGGAAGTCATTCACTTTGGGGGCAAGATGGTATATATTAAGGACAGCGATGGCCCTGCCCTGAAGTTGCAAAGTGTCTTTTCATCAGGGGGCAGATCTCTCCTCAGTCCTGTTTACCCTGGTTGGACTCATAAGCCAGATAGGTAGGTGACTGCCTGCTGCATGTGGTAAAACAACAAAAGTTACCGATGTCCCTCATTCTCGGTGTCACAATCTGTGACAGGCAATTCTCCCCAAAGCCCTTGGTTAAAGGTAAACAGTTCTCCTGGTGGAGCCAGCTCAAAAAGCCACCACTATCCATTCACATTTTTAGAAGTCCAAGGCTATGGGGACATGGAACAGAAGTAGTGAAGAGAAAATATTTCTCCAAACTGTTCTGTCCAATACTATAATTACTCTCTACATGTGGCCACTGAGCATTTGAAATGTGGCCACTGTGATTTGAGGTGTGCTGAAAACATAAAACAAATATTGAATTTTAAAGATTAACATAAAAAAATGTAAAATAACGCATTAAATACATTTATATTGACTGCATTTTGAAACAGCAATATTTTAGACATGTTGGGTTAAATAAAATATATCTTAAAATTAATTGCATCGCTTTTAATATTTTTAATGTGGCTACTAGAAAAATCTTAAATTACTTATCGGCTTACAATATTTTGCTGTTGGATGGTGCTGATCTAGAGCTAGAGGGGTGTGTGTGTGTGTGTGTGTGTGTGTGTGTGTGTATGTGTGTGTAGAGAGAGAGAGAGGGTGGAGGAGTTCATATAGCAAAGGAGGAGCTTGATGGAGATGGGAGTGAGTCAAGAAAACATTTTTCCTAATTTATCTCTAGTTTGGATTTAATTGCACCATTAGGCAGCAGGCTAAGAAACGTTCCATAATGCCAGGGCACTAACTGGAATTACCAGAGCTAAAAATTGTAGGGATTTTCAGGTTATGTGACTTAACACGAGGCTCAGGTATGATGAATTTGGTTGGAGGGGCAGGATGGAGTAGGAGGCTGAGGGAGCAGATCAGATTCTATAACCCCACCACACTCTTCAAAACTACATTGCACAGTGTAGTTTCTCACTGGTGGAGAACAGAGTTACAAATGGGAAAGAAAAAGGCTGAAATGAGCCCCATGGTGGATAAAACAAAGATTGAGCCTCTTCACTTTAGTGTAAGTTACTTACTTAAGTATAGAATTTTGGTTTTATTGCAAAAGGGATAATTTTAAAAATTTCTGATTAAAAAGACTTTTGGCAACACAGAAAGAAGACAGCAAAGAAGAAAAATAAAAATTATCTGAACTCCCAGAACTCAGTTATATCTAATTTAATATTTTAAAGTAATTTTTCTAGTTATTTTCTTTATTGACATGAATGTGTATTATAGTGATATGTTCTATTACTGAAATATCCAATTCTTAGCTCTTACAGTTTCACTTAACAATATGTCATAAGTATTTTATTATATCATTATTCTTGAACAAGATAATTATGAATGGCTAGCTAATATTATATCATAAGAATTTTCCAACACTTCAACCATTCTCTAATGAATGGGTGATTAAGTCATTTATCATTTTTTATCTATCATAAGTAAAATGTGATGAATACATTTGTACACCAAACATGTTCTGAATTTTTAAGGAAAGTGGAAGAAGTTTATAAAAGCCACTATGGAGAATGCAAAGGAACTCAATGTGAGTTAGTTCTCAGATGGCTTATTTTTTTAATGGAGGCAGAGAGTTTAAGCAACTGATTTTTAAGCTATCTTTCTACTATGAAATTTTATGTTGACTCTTTAGGAAAATATTATTCCATTTTTTTCATTCTTTATATTTTTGTCATTTAAGTACAGGCAAGAATTTTCTAATTTTCCATACTGTAGATAATTTAGAACATGTTATGACTACTTAATATCACTTTCAGAAATATATTCCCTTTGTACTGACTATAGGTCTATTCTCTGTCTTAAATTTCATTTTAGAAGGAATGAACCACAAAGGCAAATTTTTAAGCTAAAGAACATTAAATGTTAAAATAACTCAAAACAAATATTAGACAAACAGAAATCTAGTGTTAAGAATTGTAAGAGGTCTGAGATTTTACCCTACCTACCTAGCTGCAAACTCACAAGTTTCATGGATGCTCACAGGGACATGAGACATGAGATGCCTGGGTCAGAGACAAAGCACAGTTTATTACTCACAGCAATATCAACAGCCAGAATATCACCTTGGGTTTTTCAAGCCCCAATTCCCACAGGATGACAGAAAGAGGTACAGGTGATACCTGTATATGCAAGAGGTCACAGCACAGGAGAGGAACTCTGAATATAGGGAACCTGAATTTTTTTATAGTGGACATTAAGAATGCTGTCCTATTCAGGAGTGTCCAAGGCTATTTGTTATATAAACATCCTGATAAGATAATTTGGAGTAAAGGCCATTCGAGCTTCTATTCATATGATGCAAAAAAAATTGCAAGATATCTGTGGATAATTATCTTTAACATAAGAATAAGTGCTGTATTAGGAACTAATTAGAGTATATCACATATTTTGTCTATTTGGTGCATGCTCTTTTCTTCATGACCAGCCTGAGACCTGTTCTTGCCTGGCATATCTACTTTCTTTTCCTATTCCTTAATCATAGTGGTAAATGTCTACATATATAGTCTGCAAAGCAGCCTATACAGCAGTTTATCAGTAGAGCTGTCTGCTTTTATCTGGAAAAGATAGCCATCATGTCCATTTCCATAAGCGCAGATCAGGGAAAACCATCCCTGCTCTTCTAGCAAGATTGTAAATGTACATGAGACAGAGGAAGGGGCCCACTCTCTCCCTCTTGGGAATGAAATGAAAGAATACCCCAGAACCCCCATATGTTCCCTACCATAATCTACAGCCACTGCATGTGGCTGAAATACCACTGATTGCCAAAAACAATATAAAAAGAGGTCTCATCCAAAAGGAAATTTTGTTCCCTAAGGGAAAAGTCTTCATAACATTGGCATGAATAAGTTATGAAAAGCCTTCACAACTGAAAGAGACATAATCATCATTCATGTATAACAGATTTGTTTATTCATTTCAGTTGATTAATTATCAGTATCTGCTGATGGTGGGGGTAACAAGGCTGCTCTGATGAAAGAATTATCAAAGTACATGCTTAGAATATTTATCACTGAGCACATATTGTATAAACTTAGCATATTTATTATGTTCTTTCTATATGGGACCTTTCTTCCCCAAGAGAGATTAAACAGTACTGCCCATGCTTGTAGGCAATTTTCCTTCCAAACATGATACTTAACTCTTTATAGAGAAATTGACCATTTTTATAATGCTGTGCTAGTGCAAGCATGATCACCTCTCCTAAGAAATTCTGACACAGAGTCTCTGAACTGTTCTCCTCACCTCCAGCCTTACTTTCCTGCACATCATATATATAATTTTTATGTATAATACCAATAGCCCCTAATGTAAATAAGGGTGACTTTGTTGGTGGTTCTTATGTCTTTCCCAGCTTTAGGCAGAACTACTTTAAAATAGAACACAAATTGTATCTCTGGCCACATCAACTTTGATGTTTGGTCAAACAATCCCCGATAGTACAACTACTGCTTAAAGGAAAAGTGACAATTTGTGTAAGTTAATATTAACCTTTTAAGTAAAAATTAAAAGTGACAAGTTAACTAAATTTAAATTAAAATATTAAAAATCAATATAATCCAACATAATCTATATGTAGCAATCTTCAAAGAAACTTTTTGTTTATTGACTATCATAGTAAGAACTACCATTTATTGATTCCCTACTATATGTCAGACACTAAACTGGATGCTTTAAATATGCATTCTTTTTTAAAACTTTTTTTTATTTTTTGAGACACAGTTTCACTCTGTCACCCAGGCTGGAGTGCAGTGACGCAATCCCACCTCACTGCAACCTCTGCCTCCCAGGTTCAAGCATTTTCACGCCTCAGCCTCCTGAGTAGCTGGGATTACAGGTGCACACCACCATGCCCAGATAATTTTTTTATTTTTACTAGAGATGGGGTTTTGCCATGTTGGCCAGGCTGGTCTCGAACTCCTGACCTCAAGTGATCTGCCAGCCTTGGTCTTCCAAAGTGCTGGAATTACAGCTGTAAACCACCACAGCTAGCCCGGCCTAGATATGCTTCGTCATTTAATCTCTACAACATCCTTGAGGCTGATATTGTTATTACCTCCTCATTATAGCTTAAGAAAGTAAGGCATAAAGAGAATAGTTCACTTGCCCAATATCACTTAGCTTATATGTGGCCAAGTTGGCATTCAGACTGCTCTCTTTCTGCTCTCTGAGTCAGAGCTCTCAGCTATTATGCTGGGATTCTCTCTTTAGTTTCTTTGCTAAGACCACCATAATAGCAATCAGAAGACCTGGGTTATGATCCCAGCTCCAATAATATTATCTCCATGACATCTTTACTCTTAGATCCCAGTTTCCTCATACTCTCATCTCACCTACCCCCATGGCATTCATGTCTGACTCTCAAGTCTTTGCTGCTTTCCTTATCTCTCTTCCTGGACTTCAGACCCATAATATTTAAGTATTTGCTTTATGAACATTTACACTTCAATGTGTCCAAATTAGACATCATCCCAACCAGCTCCTCACATATTGATCTCTTTCTCAATGAATGGTGCCACTAGCCACCTCGTTACCCAAGGAGCGTAGACTCCACCATCTATCTCTTCTCTCCACCTCCACCACTGTGCTAGTGCAAGTATGATCACCTCTCCTAAGAAATTCTGACATGGAGTCTCTGAACTGTTCTCCTCACCTCCAGCCTTACCTTCCTGCACACCATTCTCCATCCTTCACCCAAAGTGAACCCTTAAAACCAAATCTCATCAGGCCACTCTTCTGCTCAGAATCTTTCAATAATTCCCCATTGTCCTTAGATATATTTCCAAGACCTTAACACTGCTTCCTGGCTCCTGTCTACTACTTCATCTTCATCTTTTGCCACCTTCCTCCCTGGAGCCTCTGCTTTAGACATTCTGAACTCTTTCTGTTTCTTAAACAAACTCTTTCTCAATATCTTGCCTTGGTTTTTCTCAAATGTTTATCATTCCAACCTGGAGAACACCTTCTTCTCTAATGTCTAATATCTACTCAGTCTTTGAGTCGGAAGCCTTGTCTGGGCATCCCCACACTGTGTTGGCTGCCCCTGCCATGTGCTGTCATCATACCTCTGTGCTCCTCCCATTGCCTCATCACAGCATTTTTCATTCCTTACTGTTACTGCTTGTCATTAGACACAGGTAGACTGTGAAGACTAAAGTCAGGAACCTTGGCCTTGATTGCTATTGGTCAGGAGCTCTTAGACATTTTATAGATTTCATTTATTTATATTTATTTATTTATTTATTGAGACGGAGTTTTGCTCTGTTGCCAGGCTGGAGTGCAGTGGCGCGATCTCAGCTCACTGCAACCTCTCCCTTCCGGGTTCAAGTGATTCCCCTGCCTCAGCCTCCCGAGTAGCTGGGACTACAAGTGTGTGCCACTACACCCGGCTAATTTTTTGCATTTTAGTAAAGACAGGGGTTTCACCATGTTGGTCAGGATGGTCTCGATCTCCTGACCTCGTGATCCGCCTGCCTCGGCCTCCCAAAGTGCTGGGATTACAGGCGTGAGCCGCCGCACCCAGCTAGATTTCATTTATTAAATGGAAATTATAGTAACTGCCTAGCCTACATCTCAGAGGTTTTAAAGATATTTAAGAAAACATTTTTAAATCTATAAAACAATAAACAAATATTAGTTACTTTATTATAAACTTAGCTCTACTCCTAAATTTAAGGCAGGAGAAATAAAACTGAATTTGAGTGACTAGGATCTAGTTGCATTCAAATCACTTTGGAATGTTTTTCTGATTCTGTTAGGCCTGGGATAGGGCCAGGAAAGTTGTGTTATTGCAGAATTCTTCAGATGACTTGGAAGCACAGACAAGTTTGGAGAGTGGTGCCTTAGAACATTTTTCCTGATCTGAAAGGTTATGGTCTTCATGAATCAGTGTGGAGAAAAATATGGGAACTTCCTTGGTCATATTAACCCTACAGAGATAGATCCAGCATATGCTTCTAGAAGAGAGTCTATTGAAGCCCAATAATATAGTGAGAATTGACCAATCCAGCAAGTAGGTCATATTTAACTTGTAAAAGTCAGAAACTAGTTACTAGGAAGCAAAGCTTTCGCAGAAAAGCAGAAAACTAACTCATGAAAAAGAACGAATCTCCTATAGCCTTAAGAATAGAAAGACCCTAACACAAGGGTCAAGGAATGAAGGGGACTGGATTATCTCCCGAAGGAAAAGGAGAATGGTGCAGAGGGTAAGGTAAAGAGACTGTGTAAAGTAACATTTCCTAAACTGGGTCCTATAGGGCATTGTTTAAATGAATGTTAAAAGGAGTGCCATGAGAAAGAGTTACAATGTAAAATAAGTATACATACTACATTCCTTTTGCACATTAATATATTATAGACTGAGATTTTTGCAATAGAGTTAAATCCTTTTAACATTTTTAAAATTCACATTTCCTAAACTTATTTGTGAATGAATGAATTGTCTTACAACCATTTTGAGAATAGAGCATTTTAAATTAAACATGAAGGGACTTACTTGTAGTAAAGAAGGAAATTGGGACTCTGCCCTGTAAAAGCTTCCTTGAATCATCATCATCATCATTACAAAATATGATCCGCAAAGACTGTAGACCTTGTAAGCAAAGTCTCTTGCTTATCTAATTTTGCATTTTTAGCACCTAATGTAGAGCTGGACACAAAATACATGTGGAACTGAATTGCCTTCTGTCACATTTCAATGAATAATATAACAGTGAAGTCTTTGAAGAAGAATTTAATTCTTTAGGCATATTCTCTTCATCAAATACTCCCTTAAGAACTTATGTATGCCATTTATATAATTGTCACTGGTTAGGGTTGAACTGTTAAAGTGTATAGTAAATTGTTATGTGAACACGTTATATAAAAATAAAGTGGCCAGGTGCGGTGGTTCACGCCTGTAATCCTACACTTCGGGATGCCAAGAAGAGTGGATCACCTGAGGTCAGGAGTTCGAGACCAGACTCACCAACATGGCGAAACCCCGTCTCTATTAAAAATACAAAAATTAGCCAGCTGTGGTGGTGGATGCCTGTAATCCAAGCTACTTGGGAGGCTGAGGCAGGAGAATCACTTGAACCTGGGAGGTGGAGGTTGTAGTGAGCCAAGATAGCACCACTGCACTCCAGCCTGGGTGACAGAGTGAGACTTCATCTCAAAAAATGTAAATAAATAAATTAATTAATAATTAATAGTGTATAGCAAAGAGATCTCATAGCCTTGGAGATTTACTATACGCAATTATTTATTTTCTTCCTATGAAAGTGTATGCTTTCTTTCAAATATTAACCACCTGACATGCTATGAAAAAGCTGTAGGGTGTCAGTCACAATTCAGATTATAAATTAAAGAAAATGATATTTTAAAGTGCTTTGAAATATCCCTGACACATTTTATTCTCAGTTGCCATTAATTCTTCTACCTCCTTCCATTAGCATCACCACTTCCCTGTTCCAAACTACTATCATCTCTCACTTGCACTATTGCATTAGACTAGGGGTCCTTAACTCCTGGGTCTTGGATTGGTACTGGTCCGTGGCCTTTTGGAAACCAGGCCACACAGCAGGAGGTGAGCAGCTGGTGAGCATTACTGCCTGAGCTCTGCCTCCTGTCAGATCAGCAGTGGCATTAAGTTCTCACAGAGTGGAAACCCTATTGTGAACCACACACATGAGGGATCTAGGTTGAGTGCTCCTTATGAGAATCTAATGCCTGATTATCCGAGGCGGAACAGTTTTATCCCAAAACCATCTCCCCTGGCCCACCCACCCCTGGCCCCAGTCTGTGGAAAGATTGTCTTCCATGAAACCAGTCCCTGGTGCCAAAAGGGTTGGGGACCACTGCCTTAGACTCAAACCTGACCTCCATGCTAACTGTTTTCCATGCTTCCATTCTTAACTCAGTCTTATTCCATTCTCCATGCAGCTGTCAGGGTTACTTTTCAAAACATAAATTGGATCATGTCACTACACTGCTTAAAGCCCTCCAGTGAGTTCCCTTTGGGCACTCCTCAATATAGCACATAGTGCCCTAATTCTCCATTCTCATCTCCTGGCTCTCTTTTCTTCCTGTGATCCATCACAAGAACATTCTTTCTGTTTCCTGAAAATGCCAATCTATTTCCCACCATCAGGCCTTTTTGTAAGTGTGTCCTCTAACAGAAATTCACGCTTTTAGGTCTGGGACTTGCTGCTGCTTTCACATCATTCTGGTCTTGATATTTCTGATTTCCTTCTCAAAACTAGCATCTTTCCCTCTTTCACTCCCACTTCCTGTCACCCTGTTTTATTTTTTTCATGGGACATTTCACTATCAGAAATTATCTTGCTCATTTAAAGCTTTCCTTGTTTATGGCCAAGTGTGGTGGCTCACACCACATTTGGCAGTAATACCAGCACTTTGGGAGGATCCTTTGAACCCAAGAATAAAGACCCCATCTCTATTAAAAATAAAATATAAGTGAATAAATAAATAAATATTTCTTTGTTTATTATATCTCTTCCACTAAGCTGGGGAAGAGCATTTTCTTTCTGTTTACTAACAACTGGAACAGTGCCTGGCACGTAGCAAGCCTTTAATAATTATTTATTGAAGCAATAAATGAAAAAATTAATTGTAATCTAGAATGTTAAAGCAGCCGGGCACGGTAGCTCATGCCTGTAATCCCACATTTTGGGAGGCTGAGGCAGGTGGATCACTTGAGCTCAGGAGTTTGAGAACAGCCTGGGCAACATGGTGAAACCCTGTCTCTACTAAAAATAGAAAAATTAGCTGAGTGTGGTGGCGTGTACCTGTGGTCCCAGCTACTTAGGGGGCTGAGGTGGGAGGATCACCTGAGCCCAGAAGGTGGAGTTTGCAGTGAGCCAAGATCGCACCATTGCACTCCAGCCTGGGCAACAGAGGGAGATCCTTTCTCAAAAAAAAAAAAAAAGAAAAAAAGAAAGAATGTTGAAGTAGCTCATTTCTTCCTCCCACTAGGAAAATAAATGGCCAGAATTGGCATTCTAATTTCTTAAGACCCCAGAGAAGGTTGAAACAGGACTATCAGCTGTCAAAAGGTTTAATTCTAACATTTGTTGTTATATCTTCCTATTGCCCAATTATGCTTTTTTTTGTCCTTTTAAAAAAATGTGGTAAAATATACATAACACGAAAGTTTCCATTTTAGCCATTTCAGTGACATTAAATACATTCATGTGTTCGCTTTGACGGCACATATACTAAAATTGGAATGATACAGAGAAGATTAGCATGGCCCCCGTGCAAGGATGACATGTAAATTCATGAAGTGTCCCATATTCTTAAAGAAAAAAAATACATTCACAGTATTATGTAGCTATCACCACTATCCATTTCCAGAATTTTTTAATCAGCCCAAACAGAAACTCTGTATCCATTAAACAATAACTACCTATTCCTCCCACTCTCCAGCCTCTGCTAACTACCATTCTATTGATCGCTTCTTTGAATTTGCCTATTCTAGGTCCTTATGTAAGTGAAATCGTATAATATTTTTCCTTTTAAGTCTAGCTTATTTCCCTCAGCATAATATTTTCGAGGTTTATTCATGTTGTAGATGTATCTGAATTTCCTTCATTTTTAAGGATGAATAATATTTCCCCAGCACTTTGGGAGGCTGAAGCAAGAGGATTGCTTGAGCCCAGGAGTTCAAGACCAGCTTTGAGCAACATACTGAGACCCCGGCTCTTTAAAAAAACAAAAAGAATGAATAATATCTCATAGTATGGATATACTACATTTTGGTTATCAATTCACCTGGTGATGAACACTAGGATTATTTCTACCTTTTGGTTTTTGTGAATAATGCCGCTAGGAACATTGGTGTACAAGTATCTCTGTCCCTGCTCTCAATTCTTCTGGGTATATTTATATATACACCTAGGAGTGGTATTTCAGGATCATGTGGTAATTCTGTGTTCAAGTTTTTGAGGAACTGATTCATCTATTCTTACTGCCTTCTCACTTTTCTTCCAAAATGGTAGCCTTCTAATGCTATGTAGAAAGAAAGTAGCACTTTTGGGATCTAGTCCCATTTGGGAATACCCCGTGCCTTCTTGATTTCCTACCAGGGTGGCTCAATTTCCTGGTGCCTACCATTCTCAAATGAACCAAATCCCTTCATTTTCTTTTCTACTGAACCTCTAAAATATTTGAAAACATAATTGGATAACACACATAAAAAGCAGCCCTGAACATTTAAACCAGCAGTTTCCCCATGGGAAAACTGATCTCTCATTGATTAGGATGATTGATGATTTATGGCTGGGTGTAGTCAGCCCAGCAGTTGCCGTTAGACCCAAGCAGCACTGGACTTATAGTATCAAGTGTTGCCACACCCCTGGCACCTATGTACATATTAAATCAGAGGCTACTATTTGCTTTATTGCTTTTAAACCTAAAAATTCATTATGCTCCTAAAACTTGTCAGTGATTCTCAAACACATGAGGCTTGATGTAGCCACATAGAGCTATATGAAGCCCCATTGTTTATGGATCACTTTCTTTTCCATTTTCTCCTTCATGTGACTTTTTTCCATCATTTTCTTCAGCATGAGAAAAATGTATTCAAAAGATTATAAACAGCAGTTGGTAATCAGTGCATAACAGCTTTCTGTGTATAATACAATCATTAGGTGTACATTAGACATTTGGCATAATAGGCATACTGTCGCCAGAATAGAACTCTGTCAAAGTACCAATGCCTCCTGCCTTGAAAATGCACAGATCAAATTTGTATCCCCCTACGGGTGAGGAAAAATGTAACAGCTGCACAGAATTACTCTGTGACAAAGTTCAACTGATTTTGCTTATCAAATTCTGAATAAAGTCAGTATACATGTAAATGTATTAATATCAATTTCTATCACATGCCACTTAATATTCCCTAATCTCCTCCTTATTGAAGCTGTATTCTTGATTTTAAAGCTAAATTTGAGCATGATTTTAAATCATATCCATAGCTGGTACTACAGCATTAGTGAAAGATGATTTATGATGTTGAGTATTGGCCATACCCCAATTAAAACTAAAATGCATTACTTACATAAAATGTCCAGGAGCTACAAATCTATACAGACAAAAGTAAATTAGTGGTTGCCTAGGGCTAGGGGTGAGAAGAGGGAGTGACTGAAAATGGGCATGAAGGATCATTTGGGGGTGATGAAATGTTCTAAAATTGGATTTTGGTAAGGATTGTATGACTAAATTTACTGAAAGTCATTGACTTGTATACTTATAATGAGCTAATGTTATGCTATGTAAACTAAACCTCAATAAACCTTTTTTTTTAAAAAAAAACAACTAAACAGCAGTGAACATCATTCCATTTATATCTTTGTGAATTGATAACCAAAATGTAGTATATCCATACTATGAGATATTATTCATATCTGTATAAGTATATCCATAGAATAAATTCTGAGATATGGAATGGTGGACTTATTCAAATTTCTTATATAAACCACCAAATTATCTTTTAAAGTTAATTCACCAATATAGTCTCTTATCAACAGTGTCTGTCACTATACATTTCTCCACAATGTTGTCAATACTTGACAATATTCATCTTGTATGTTTTTGTTACTGTGGAAAAAGGCTTGCTGTAGTTAATTTTTTTATTACTGTACTATTTGGCAATTTTAAAAATATTTTTATTGTCTATATTTCTCTGTGAATTACTTTATCCTTTATCCATTTTTAAAAATGGGTTGTGGCTGGGCATGGTGACCCATGCCTGTAATCCCAGCACTTTGGGAGTCTGAGGTGGGCGGATCACCTGAGGTCGGGAGTTTTAGACCAGACTGACCAACATGAAGAAACCCCATCTCTACTAAAAATACAAAATTAGCTGGGTGTGGTGGCACATGCCTGTAATCCCAGCTACTCGGGAGGCTGAGGCAAGAGAATTGCTTGAACCCGGGAGGTGGAGTTTGTGGTGAGCCGAGATGGCGCCATTGCACTCCATCCTGGGCAACAACAGTGAAACTCTGTTTAAAAAAAAAAAAAAAAAAAGAGACAGAAAAGTTGTTATTTTCTTGTTGAATCGTATATCTTTATTCTGCATATTAATTTTCCCTATTATGTATACTGCAAATGTAATTTTCCTATTCCAATTGTTGAAAACCTATATAGCTTAGGAACCAAATCTAACCCACTGTTTTTCATCTTTTTAACTTTTTATTTTGAAATGGTTATAGACTCACATGAAGTTGCAAAGATAGTACAGAAAGGTGCCATGTGCTCTTCACCCAGTTTTCCCCAGTGGTTACATTTTACATAATTATAGTACAGTGTCAAAGCCAGGAAATTCATATGGGTACAGTATATGTTTGTGTCTATGCCATTTTATCACATGTGTAGATTCACACAGCCTCCACCTCAATCAAGATGCAGAAATATTCCCTTATCACAACATCTCCCCGAAGCTACCTCTATATAGTCACCGCCATGCACTATATCCAGTCATGCCTGACTCCTAACCACTCATCTGTTCTCCATCTCTATAATTTCATCATTTTGAGAATGTTATGTAAATGGAATCTAACAGCACATGACCTTTGAGATTGGCTGTTTTGACTCAACTTAATGTCCTTGAGGTCTGTCCAAGTTGTTGCCTGTATCAAGAATTTCTTTCTTTTTATTGCTGAATAGTACTCCATTGTATGGATGTACCCACCATCTTCTTTTAAATGACTTATGAGCTCAATGTTATTTTTACATTTTAAACGTTGAAAAAAATTAAAAGAAGAGTATTTTGTAATGTGAAAATCATATGAAAATCAAATTGCAATGATCATAAATAAAGTATTATTGCAACCTAGCCATACCCATTTGCTTATGCATTCTATTGCTACTTTCATGTTACAATGGCAGAGGTAAGTAGTTGTGATAGTGACCGCTGTGGAGATGACAGTATGAAAGCAGAGCAATGGAGGGCCAATTCCTTGATTTTTTTCTAGGCAGCCTTACCCACCTTGGCAGCCTCTCTGCTTGGTTTGCTGAACTTCTCCCCATAGTTCATGGGCTTTCCACTTACTCAGAATATTATTATTATTAATTATTGTTATTTTGGTAAGTGAGAGCTCTTAAGCTTTTTAAATTCTCTACCTGAAATAGTTTTTCATCACAGCCTTGTTTCCCCTTTTATAAAGGATATGAGCCAGGAGCAGTAGCTCACATCTGTAATCTCAACACTTTGGGAGGTTGAGACGGGAGGATCGCTTAAGCCCAGGAGTTTGAGACCAACCTGAGAAACACAGGGAAACACCATCTCTACAAAAATTTTAAAATGAGCCAGGCAAGGTGGCACATGCCTGTAGTCCTAGCTACTTAGGAGGCTGAGATGGGAAGATCATTTAAGCCCAGGAGGTTGAGGTTGCAGTGGGCCATGATTATGTTACTGCACTGTAGCCTGGGCACCTGAGCAAGACCCTAAGAAGGAAGGAAAGAAAGAAAGAAAGAAAGAGAGAGAGAGAGAGAGAGAGAAAGAAAGAAAGAAAGAAAGAAAGAAAGAAAGAAAGAAAGAAAGAAAGAAAGAAAGAAAGAAAGAAAGGAAGGAAGGAATGGGAAGGGAAGGGAAGGGAGGGGGGAGGGGAAGGGAAGGGAGGAAAGAAGAGAGGGAGGGAGGAAGGAAGGAAGGAAAGGAAAGAAAGAAAGGGAAAGAAGAAAGAGAGAAAGAAAGGCAAGAGAAAGAAAGAATGAAAGAAAGAGAGAGAGAGAAAGAGAAAGAAATAGAAAGAAAGAAAGGAGAGAGAGAAAGAAAGAAAGAAGAAAGAGAAAGAAAGAAAGAAAGAAAGAAAAAGAAAAGATACAGAACTTACTGTAGAAATGCACATATTGGCTTCATACTGGCAGGAATAGCTCAGCCAAAAGCCTAAAGCAACTATAGGACAGTATTACAGAGAGGCAGTGGAGTGTAGTGACGTCTGTGGAACTTAGAAAGGTTATTTAAGCTGTATGATTCTCAGCTTGCAAGATCTGGGTCATTTTCTTTTCTTCCATTTAAATGAATTTCTGCTATGTAGCTGCCCATAACAAAACCTCTATTTCTCAGAAAGATTTGGCCATGCAAACAGGCTGTGAGCAGATGTGATGTTTGCAAGGGAAGGGACTGTGGGTGCGGGGAGTGCCATCTTGGACGGTGTGGCTGAAAGCAACATCTCACAAAGGCTGAGCAATGGAACAGATAGTGTGTGGGTCCCTGCAGCAGGGTCATCATACTAGTCCTGGACCCCGCCCCCCCCCACCACTTCTGGACTCTCAGATTATAAAGAGAGAAATCTATACCTTATTTAAGTCAATACTTTGACTCTCCACTACATGAAGCTGGACCTTCCATCTAAACTGCACAGCCTTTCAAGGTTGCTCTGAGAAATGTTTAAGAAGAAAAAATCAAAGCACATATACAGAACAGACTTTGTATAGCCTGCCTTTCTGACTTAATTACTCCTTTTTGTATTTACTACAGAGTAAAGCAAAGAGCTAGACACAAAGAAGGCATTCAATAAATAGTTACGATGAATTGAGCTGAATTTAGTAGGCTGAGATAGGACAGATTCCAGTCTTCACACACTCACTTGGCAAAATGTGTACTATGGTTTACATTTCTACATGAGGGAGGCTGACATTTATTCACACACTTCTGTTAGAAGATCCCCACTGTTAAACAGCCTGAATTCTTTTAAGGGTTTGAAGTTGGCTTCTGTTGCCTTATGAGAGCCCAGGAATTATATCCAGCCTACTGTGCCTACCGAGGCTCCACGTGGGTCTCAGCAGGCACCAGAAGGCTGACTCAGTGTCACTGTGATCTCCCAGGCAGGACATGCTGCGATCAACAGCAGTCCCAGCTACCACCCGTTAGAAATCATATGAGTCCTCCCAGGGGTCTGTCCTTTGAAGCATGACTCCATTGACTACTCTCCTAGAATTTCCCACCTCTCTAAAAGGAACATGACCCTATTATAGATTCCTGAAGAGCTGCCATATTTGGAGAGAGACACCATATTTGCTGAGACCCTTCACTCAGTGGGAAGGATTCTTTGTACCATGGGAAGGTTGGATTCTCTGAAAGACTCCAGCATGTGAGCACATTACAGATGATAAACCCCATTCAATAGCTCCAACTTCCGCTGCTACCTAATTTTTTTTTATCTTTGGGAAACAAAGGAGAGGAGATACATCTGTTTCCACATTGTAATAATTCACCATTTAAACTCCCAAAGAATCAGTGGACTTGATCATTCTTAATTATTCCTCCCATCAGCTAGTGAGTATTCAAAATATGAGATTAAGTAATTTGTGTGTGTCAAGTTACATGGGAGAGAAATAAGACAAAGCAATTTTATATGTTAATAAAGATAAAATCTGGCATATATGTATAACTTCACAATTTAACCAGTAAGAAATAGGATTACTGCCTTTCCCATCTGCTTGGCAGTGAGGTGTTGAAAAGAAAACAGTAAATACTGTATTGACAAAGATTCGGTTGTAGAAAATGAACGATGAGAGATTTTATGCTAATGTATAGTGTTTTTTAAAAAAAGAACATAGGCAAACAAAATTGTCCTAACAAATGTAGCTGATCCATTTTGACCACAAGGAATCATTTTGTTCTTATATTTCTGCCTTTTTATGGTGCCCCCAAAGCCACATTTGCGTTTTCAGTTGGAGAGGCTCCTAGCTAACCTCCAAAACCCTTTTTCTGGCTGGGGTCCATCCTTTGAAGGAAAATAGGCAAAGGGAAACCTTAGCTGACAGAATCTGGTTTGGCACATCATTTCAACGCTAAGCAGAAATTATGAATTTGGGAATGGGGAAAGGAGTGGGAATGTGGGAAGTGAGGCTCCTCAAAATAAGATAACTCAGCTTCAGTGGTTCCTGGTGAGGGAAAGTTGGGAAACCATTTAGTTTCAGAAAAATTGCCTCTGCATATTGAGGAATGAATCAGATTCTATGTTATCATTTATTGAGCTATTATTTTGTGCCAGGGCATTACATTAAAGTATCTTGTCTACATTTTATTACTGAATTATCACTATCTTGTGGCATGGATCTCATTATTCCCATTTTATTTTATTTATTTATATTTATTTTTGAGATGAAGTCTTGCTCTGTCTCCCAGGCTGGAGTGCAGTGGTGTGATCTCGGCTCACTGCAACCTCTGCTTCCCGGGTTCAAGTGATTCTCCTGCCTCAGCCTCCTGAGTAACTGGGATTACAGGTGCATGCCACCATGCCTGGCTAATTTTTGTATTTTTGGTAGAGATGGGGTTTTGGCAAGTTAGCTAAGCTGATCTTGAACTCCTGACCTCAGGTGATCCACCTGCCTTGCCCTCCCAAAGTTTTAGGATTACAGGCGTGAGCCACTGCGCCTTGCCCCCATTTTACTGATAAGGAAATAAGGTCTGTGGGAATTAAGTCACTACTTCAGGTCACACTGGGGCAAAGTAGTGGCAGAGTCAGGATTCTCAACTTTGAGGCTCCTGAGTTCAAGGCTGTTGCTGTTAACCACTGAGCCCACAGTGCCTCCCTTCTATAACACTGACTTCCAAAACATTGCTATTCAGTTAGCATTTTAATTTCTCGAAAACAATCTTACATGTAGTAAAATCTCAGAAGTTGACATAGTTTGGATATGTGTCCCCACCCAAATTGCATGTTGAATCGTAATCCCCAGCGATGGAGGTGGGGCCTGATGGGAGGTGATTGGATCATGGGGATAGATTTCTTATGAATATTTTCACACCATTCTCTTGGTTCTGTCCTTGCAACTCAGGAGTGGGTTCTTGTGAGATCTGATCCTTTAAAAATGTGTGGCCCCTCCCACTTTCTTTCTTTCGCTCCTACTTCCCCCATGTGATGTGCCTGCTCCCTTTGCCTTCTGCCATGATTGGTTTCCTGAGGTCTCCCCAGAAGCAGATGCCCTGTGCTTCCTGTACAGCCTGCAGAACTGTGAGCCAATTAAACCGCTTTTCTTTATAAATTACTCAGTCTCAGGTATTTCTTTACAGCAATGTGAGAATGGCCTAATACAGAATTATAATCAATATGACATTGTTACTCTGTGTTATTGGATGGAGATCTCCTGGGTGTCAGGACCTACATTTATACCTCTCTCAAAGCCCAGCATCTCCCACGTTACCTGACACAGAGTAGAGTCCTAAGAACACCTCAGAATGAATACTCGTTCATGATCTCTGGTGCCATTTACTAATGTTAAAAAAATTTCAGCAACATTATTAGCAATTCATGCACTCATGTAAATACAAAGAAATTCATGTATTTATTGAGTTTCAGGTATCACAGGCAAGGGGCTCACTCTGAGAGTCCACCTCATTTTGTGGAACTTGTATTCCTGGAGGATGGAATACAGTGGTGAGGAGAAAACTAATGAATAAATTGAACAACACCATTTCATCTAGTGATTAGCATGAGAAGAAAATCATAGGTGACTTGATATATTAGTTTCCTCCAGTTGCTGTAATAAATCTTAGTAGCTTAAAACAACACACATTTATTACCTTGCAGTTCTGAAAATCTGAAGTGTTCAAATTGGATCTCACTGGGCTAAAATGAAGATGTAGGCAGTGTTCTGTTCCTTCTGGGGGGCTCTAGTGTACAGGAGGACAGGTCCCCAGATGACCTCGGCCTAATCAACAATCCTCTCTTACTTGCAATTCTCAAGCAGACTGTGCTGAGAATACAACATCCTGAGATAAGGAAGAAATGTCCAGAACAACCTGGGTGTGTCCTCATTGCTCCTGGAACAGGATGTTCTACAATGCTTGAGCTTAGTGAGCTGAGTGGCACCCAGGGTATATAAACCCAGGGTGGGACGCCACTGGAGTCCCTCAGCTGCAGTACAACAGGAAGCACGTGCAGACAAGACAATCTGCCTTAGGCAGCTTTCCTGAGTCTTGGGGGACCAGTTTGTCATGGATCCTTGGCTTCTGTTTATCCTTGCTGCCTATCTGTGAGTAATAAATCTGCTTTGCCTAACTTGTGCAAGGGTTCTCTCTCACCAGATTCATGCAATAGGCAGAGAACCTTTCCGTAGGAGAGAATCTGTTTCTTTGCCTTTTCAGCTTCTAGAGGTCACCTGTAGTCCTTGGCTCAAATTTCCTTCTTCTATCTTTAAGCCCAGCAGCACAGCATTCTCAAATCTCTCTTTGACGCTTACTCTCCTGCCATCACTTACAAGGACCCTTATGATTCCACTGGGCTCACTTGGATTACCCAGAATAGTCAAGCCGTTATCTCAAGATACTTAATCTCATCATATCTGCAAAGTCCCTTTGCCATGTAAAGTAACAGACATACATACAGGTTTCAGGGATTTAGATGAGAACATCTTTGGAGTGACATTCTACCTATTATGCTACCTATTACAATTGCCAAGAAGTTCCCTAGATTCGATGGATAGGGCAGATGTCAACTTGGAGGTGAATATTATCTTCTTTTTTTTTTCTTTTTTTTGAGACAGAGTCTCACTCTGTTGCCCAGGCTGGAGTACTGTGGTGCAATCTTGGCTCACAGAAACCTCTGCCTCCCAGGTTCCGGCAATTCTACTGCCTCAGCCTCCTGAGTAGCTGGGATTCCAAGCACCTGCCACCACACCTGGCTAATTTTTGTATTTTTACTACAGACAGGATTTCACCATTTTGGCCAGGCTGGTCTTGAACTCCTGATCTCAAGTGATCCACCCACTTCGGCCTCCCAAAGTGTTGGGATTACAGGTGTGAGCCACCACGCTCGGCTGATATTATCTTTTATCTTGGATTTTGATTAGCTGCAAGACTCCTACTGAGACAGGTCCTTAAAGATCTTTATGACTTTTGGTTTTGGTCTGGTGAGAAACATGCAAATGTTTTGGTCAATGACTGTAACTGGGAAAAGAATGAAAAAAGATGTGGAATACTTAAGAATGAGAAGTGAGGGCAGCAATTCACTTGAAGACATATTAATCTTTGTTGATTGATATCCTTATAAACTTCCCTTATTTCCTTATACACTCTCTTTTACATGAAAATAAACTATATTCCACACAATCCTCAAAGACATATGTGTAATTCTTCTCCCTTTCTTATCTAGTAAGCCCCTGAGTGACAGAACTATTATTAATTAGGGGATCCAGGATTGAATCCTGGCAGCTGGGCTCTGTAACCTTCATCTCTAACCACTGTTATTTATTGTTGCTGTTCTTCTGTATTTCATAGACCTTTAAAACCACCATACTTGAGTGATTTCAACTAATATGTGTGTCCAAAGATGATCAGTCTGCAGAAGGGGGTGAATTATAAAATTTTCCATGAGAAAGTAACCCCAAACTCAATTCTTAAAGCATAGCTTCCATGAATCAGTTCCACTTCCTGCCGCAAAAGTGCCTGATCAAATGTTTCATTTAAAAATCATGATTTTGTCTGGCTGGGCATGGTGGTTCACACCCGTAATCCTAGCACTTTGGGAGGCCAAGGTGGGTGGATTGCTTGAGCCCAGGAGTTTGAGACCAGCCTGGGCAACACAGTGAGACTTCATGTCTAAAAAAACCAAAAACCATGATTTTGGTCTGTAAAGAAAAGTTTTATTGACGAGCACTTTATTCATCAGAATTCCAAGGGCAGGCCAGGTGCAATGGCTCATGCCTATAATCCTGGTGGACTTGAGCTACGATCACGCTGTTGCACTCCAGCCTGAGCAGCAGAGTGAGACTTTGTCTCTAAAAAAAATAAAAATAAAAATAAATAAATAAATAAAAAATTCCAAGGGTAGGGAGGATTTTTTGATGAGCACTTTATTCATCTTTTTATCACTTTACATCATCTATGATGAGCATTTTATCATCTTCAGCTTTTATTGATGAGCACTTTATTTATCAAAATTCCAAGGGAAGTGGGGAATCCTGGGGCAGGGAAGTTGGTCTAGCCCAGCTGGTCTAATAGAGATGAAACTGCGGAGAGAATTTGACTACACATCTGAGGAGTGCACGCAGCTGCAAGATCATAGGACAGTAGGGTACATTTTTGGATGGCAGTGGAATGTGAGAGGGGGAAACAGTGGAGGGTTTGACAATGCTTAGTGAAGGTGTTTCCACTACTTTTCGATTCTTTTCTTAAGTTACTCAATTCTAAACCATGAGTGTGTTGAGATTCCTTGTGAAAAGCAGCAGAGTGACTCTAGGCAGAAACAAGGTGGTTTCTGATGATGGAGATGCAGAGAAAAACAGGATCCAAAGGCCAGACTTTAGCAGAAATCATGAGGAAACTCTGGATTTGCAGAGGCCCAGGAAATTTTAAGACTAATTTACCTAAATATCCAAAGTCCAGTGAGGTCCCAAATTACAGTTGCATTGTCCATGCGTAGTCATAATTCTGTGTCCTGAACAACGAGGTCTTTGGTGACAGACAAAGACTGTAGAAACCCAGTTTTCCTTATCTTTCTATTTGCAGCAGGTGAAACTACCCTACTCCTCTCTTTAAAACCTACTCCCTCATTACTGGCTCACAAATTCTAACAGTGTCAATTCGTTCTTAGATTTTAAGTTTCTTTTATTATCCACCTTAAAATATATTTAAAATTAGAAAAGCAATAATCATTTCAAACAGGCAAGAAGGTTATAGAAGAAAATTACATTTGGAATCCTCAGAAATAATCACTGTTTAAATTTATTTTGTATCTTTTCGGACATTGACCAAACATAACGTGTGCGTGTGTGTGTGAGATATATTTCTTTAAGCAAAGGTGTTCACATAATTCAAAGGTCTGCAACTTCTTTTTTTCGTTTAACGACACATTTCCATATGAATACAGACATATAGACATCTCTTATTGTGTTTACTGTTTTTGTTGTGAAAAATTTCTTATATATGTAAAAGAACATATAAAATGTATGTGAAAAAAAGTTTTTCCAAGCCTAGTTTTCTATATTCCAATTTTGTTAATTGTCCCCATTATGTGTTTACAGCATTTTGCCCTCAAAGGTATAGAATCCAGTCCAGGATCACATACTGTATTTAGTTTTCATGTCATTTTGTTCAACTTTAATCTGGAATAACTCCTTAGCTTTTCTTGACATAAAGAATTTGATGAACATGGACCAGTTAGTCTATAAATATTCTTCAATCTGGGAATTTTTCGTTTGAGAAGACAAGTTAAAAATTTAGCAAGGGGCACATATTTGGTACCTGAGTAATTAGAAAAAGTGAAAATGGGGAATTGGATTACCAAGTAACAAATTCATAGAACTTAAAATACAGAGTATGCTCATAACGATCCATTACATTGACGCCAAGAACTATCCTGTTTAATGACAAAGAGAAGGCTAACATTTATTGAGTGCCCGTTGTTTGTTAGAAACAGTGATAAAGATTTATTTCCATTATTCCTCCTAGCAACAGAACGAGGCAGCTACTACTGCTTCCATTTTACAATGTAGGAACCTAGGATTGATGTGGTTAATTGACTTTCCCCAGATCACACAGCCAATAAGCGGTGGAGCTGGCCCTCAAATTCATGTTTCCAACTTTCATTTTCCATTAAACTGTGGCCTCTAAAATGCTTTTCCTCTGGCACAGTTGTTATGGGCTGTTAATCCTTGAAACAAACACTACTCAGAATTTTCTGGGAAATAATTGGTCCCAAATACAGTCATTCTCAGCTGCATTTGACTTACCATCAATAGATCATAACTTCTTTTGCCACTTGGCCTCCAAGATAATCTTGTCTGGTAGTTATCCTCATTTCCCTGATCACGATATGTAGGTGGGACCCAGGGTCAACCTTGGATTTCTGCTCTTATGTATTCTCACTTGCTCTTGTTGCTCCCATCTGGTCTCATGGATTTACATATGATCTATGTGCTCACAAGTCCCAGCTTTACCTCAGACTACTCCCTTGAACTCCTGAGTATATCCAAGTGTCAAATAAACATTTCTACTTTGATAGAGGAGAGGCAGCTCAACCTGGCATGTCCAAAAATGAACTCCAAATTCTGTCCACCTCAAATTTGTTTTTCTCATAGTCTTCCTAAGAATATGACAACCCCAATTTTTTAATTGCTCAGTTACAAACTTTTGAGTTACCACTGACTCTTTCTATTACAACCCTCTTTCAATCCATAAGCAGCCCCACCTTAAAAATACATACCCAGAGGTGACCGGGTGCAGTGGCTCATGCCTGTAAGCCCAGCACTTTGGGAGGCCAAGGTGTGAGGACTGCTTGAGCTCAGGAGTTCAAGACCAGGCTGGGCAACATGGTAAAACCCCATCTCTACCAAAAATACAAAAATTATCTGGGTGTGGTGGCACATGCCTGTAGTCCAGGCTACTCAGGAGGCTAAGGTGGCAGGATCACTTGAGCCCAGGAGGTTGAGACTGCAGTGAGCCATGATCACACCACTTCACTACAGCCTATTGAGACCCTGTCTCAAATATATATATATATATCTAATCTCCCACTGTTTTCCCCCTGCTTCTGCCTTTGTGTTATAGAACCAAACTGGGGCCCGCTTGCTTGGCACACTAAGACCAAATATCCACACCGAATTTGCAGCAGTACAAAAAAAGGTGTTTATTTGCAGGGTGCCAAGCAAGGAGGACTAGGCAGCTAATGACCAAATCTTGACCTCCCCCTGGCTTACAGGTAAGAGATTTTAAAGGCACAGGTAAAATTCAAGAAAGCAGAAGTTGTAGGCAAAATTGTAAATCAATACATGGAGCTTATACATTTGTTTTGGCCTAAAAGTGCAAGATACCTTGAAGGGGGAAGGCTTACAGGTCATAGGCCGATTCAAAGATTTTTCTGATTTACAACTGGTAAAGGAAGAGAAATTTTGTTCAAAAATTTGGGATTAACAGAAAAGAATACTAGCTCAGGCTGAGGAGAGTGGGTGATTCCCTCCAGGACCCTCAGGAAGAAATTTAATAACAAAGAACAATGGTCAGAGTTCAGCCTTCAGTTCTCTCTTATCTGAGGTCTACCTGCCAGTGAATCCATTTGAAGCCTGTATTCATCCATTCTCACACCACTATAAAGAACTGCTGGAGACTGGGTGATTTAAAAGAAAAGAGGCTTAACTGACTCACAGTTTCACATGTCTGGCGATGCCTCAGGAAATTTACAATCACAGTGTAAGTCCAAGGGGAAGCAAGTACCTTCTTCACAAGGTGGCAGGAGAGAGAACCACGAAGGAAGAACTTCCGAACACTTATAGAACCATCAGATCTCATGAGAACTCACTCACTATCACAAGAACAGCATGGGGTAACCACCCCCATGGTCCAATCACCCCTCTCCCTCAACAAGTGGGGATTACAATTTGAGATGAGATTTGGGTGGGGACGCAGAGCCAGGCCATATCAGTGGGGGTCCAGGTTTCTGAAAAACAACTCAGGACATCTTTTAAGATGTTATCTTGGCCAGACATAGTGGCTCACACCTGTAATCCCAGCACCTTTGGAGGCCAAGGGGGCAGATGCAGGAGTTCGAGACTAGTCTGGGCAACACAGGGAGACCTTGCCTCTATAAAAAAAATAAAGAAAGTAAGTAAGGAAAAAAAAGATATTATCTTTAGTTTCTATAGGAGAATAAAAATTCTCCTGACTCTAACTTTCTTGGCTATTGTTTTAGGTTACTATTACCTCCTTCCTTATAATGTTGCTTCTTTACTTCCAGGGTTAGCTAGGTGTCTGCCATTTCCCTTCAAAGAACTCAAGGTTTCCTTTTATTTCCATGCTTGGGGGCCAGAGGCCCCTACAAAAGGGTTCCTGCACCATCTTATTTGCTTGTCTTTAATCTGTCCCTACCACAGTTGCCAAAATGATCCAGAAACGTAAGTCAGATCATGTTCTTTGCCTGCTGGTGGCAACTCCTACTCTTTTTGCTGCCCATAGTCCTCCAGACTTGGCCACTTTGCTGTATCTAGAACATGCTAGGCACACTCCTGCCTCACACCTTTGCACGTGCTGCTCTCGCTACCTGGAGTTCTCTTCCTTCAGAAACCCACAGGGCTCACATCTCACCTCTTTCAGGTCACCTCCTTATTGAGGTCTTCCCTGAATACCCTGTGCAAAATGCCCCACCCTCCAAGCACTCTATTCCTCCTTGCTTTATTTTTCTTCCAATCATTTAGCATTATTTAACATACTATATTATACATACAGTGATTTTTAATTTTATTGTACTTTGGTCTGTCTCCCCCTTTAGGATGAAAGGTCCAGACGCAAGAATTTTTATCTGTTCTGTTCAGTGCCGTGTTCCAAGTGCCTAAAACTGCCTGGCACACAGTAGGTGCTCAATAACTATTTGTTAAAAGAATGTACAAATGCCTGAAGGAATTCTTTAGCCAACTCAGCTAATTTTTTTTTTAAAGAACATTCATTTATCAGAGGCAGTTCCAAGTATCTGTCTGTCCAAGTATCAAGCTTAAGAAAGTTTGAACTTCTTTCTTTTGAATAGGCTGAGAATTATATGCAGATACAGATGAATTGCATAATTTCTTATTATAAAAGTAACACAATTATTGTAGGAAATGTGGAAAATGCAGAAAATGAAAATAAAATTAACTTGTAATTCAGCCACCCAGAGACTGGTAATATTTTGGTATGCTTCTTTCCAGACTTATTTAATTTCAATGATATTTTATGTTCAAGTTTCCTTATCCCCATGACAAGGAATGGAACAAACAAACTGAGGACTGTGGTTTCACGCTTCTAGCAAAATACCATCCTCACAGTTCACTAACAGCCACAAGCACTTGCATGGAATTTTTGGGCGTTACTATCTTCCTTTTCCAAGAAAGCATGCAATAATTTGGATATTTAGGTTACCCAAACTTCCACAGAAGGATCTCCTTCTAAAGTGACCTCAGAATTCCCAGAAAACTAAATATTTGGAACTTGAGATATTCAAGTTGATTAATATTATCACAAACTCACTGGACTCAAGGCAGAAGCCTAGGATTCTAGTTCCAGTTCTACAACTTCCTGGCTGTGAAGCATTGGGGAAGTCACCCTTTTGAGCTATGGGTTCCGGAACTGAAAAACGGAGACAATAATATAGCCTAGCTAGTTATTGCAAGGATCAGGTACAGTAATGGATACATGCTTTAATAACGTATGGGGCGGGCGCAGTGGCTCACGCCTGTAATCCCAGCACTTTGGGAGGCCAAGGCAGGCGGATCATGAGGTCAGGAGTTTGAGACCAGCCTGGCCAACATGGTGAAACCCCGTCTCTATTAAAGATACAAAAATTAGCCAGGCGTGGTGGTGCAGGCCTATAATCCCAGCTACTCAGGAGGCTGAGGCTCAAGAATAGCTTGAACCCGGGAGGTGGAGGTTGCAGGGAGCCAAGATGGTGCCACTGCACTCCAGCCTGGGCGACAGAGCGAGACTCTGTCTCAAACAAAACAAAACAAAACAAAACTTACAAACGGCAGCAAAAGTGTAAAAAATAACATTGTAATTTAAATGTGAGAAAAGAAAAATAGCTCAGAGCAGAGAGAGATATGTGAGGTATGAAAAATGTATCAGCCCTACGGAGACCTGGGTATGAGACTTCAGTCATGCCCCTGTCCCAACCTATGTCTGGGGCAATTATTTAAAGGCATTTTTTTTCTGACTAGCTGCCTCACCCATTATCCTCATGCTCCTGGAACATGTGATACAAAGAATATCACAAACAATGTGTAACCAATCAATAGCTTATGTTATTTTAATGTAAATTCTTGGTGAACAACTTAGGAACTGCCTCTTCTTTGCTTGCATTTATTTATTTATTTATTTATTTATTTATTTATTTATTTATATTGAGACAGGGTCTCACTTTGTCATCCAGGCTGGAGTGCAATGGCACCAGCAGTGCTCACTGCAACTACGCCACTGCAACCTCCACCACTCAGGCTGAGGAGATTCTCCCACCTCAGCCTCCGGAAGCTGGGACTACAGGCGTACCACCACACCCAGCTAATTTTTGTATTTTTAGCAGGGACAGGGTTTCGCCATGTTGCCCAGGGTGGTCTCTAACTCCTGAACTCAAATGATACTCCTGCCTCAGCCTCCCAAACCGTTGAGTTTACAGGCGTGAGCTACCATGTCTGGTCTTTTTTCTTTTAAAAACCCACTTATAACTGCTGCTGATTAGAATGTACATTCAGGACAATTTGAATAATTGGCTCAAATAAACCATCTACTTACATTAATTTTGCCTCAGGGTTTTTGTTTTTTAGATAGAGTTGTGTTCTGTCACCCAGGCTGGAGTGCAGTGGCGTGATCTCAGCTCACTGCAACTTCCGCCTCCCGGGTTCAAGCAATTCTCCTGCCTCAGCCTCCCCAGTAGCTGGATTACAGGTTCCTGCCACCAGGGCTGGCTAATTTTTTACTTTTAGTAGAGAGGGTGTTATGGGCGGGTCTTTGTTCTTAGAGCTCCCAAGATGGTGGCAGGCCACGCCCAAGATGGGGCGGCCGCTCCAAAGATGGCGGCAAGCCTTTTGTTCTCTTACCTGGGGTTCTTGGCTTCATGGATTCCAAGGAATGGAACTTTGGGCCATGCGGTGAGTGTTACAGCTCTATTAGAAGCCGTGGGTCACAGAAGAGAACCGTGGAACCTAGAGACCAGTGTTCAGCTCGATTGGGACGAACCTGGGCACTTAGCCGTGCAGAAACAATGGCGAGCCTTTAGCCGGATCGGGAGCAGTAATGGGTGCCTCCATGGACAGCGGACACCCTGCCGGATCCAGAGGGGTGGAAGTCAGCGGCGGGTCTGCGATGTGGGCAAACAACAGTGGTGGACAGTGAGTGAAAGCTCAGCTTGAGCCATAACAAACACGGACCAGAAGAGTATGCAGTTGCAACATTTAATAGAGTGAAAACAGAGCTCCCATACAATGGGAGGGGACCCAAAGGGGGTTGCCCACTCCCTGTTCGAATGCCTGGGTTTATAGTCTGATCATTGTCCCTCCCCCTGCGCTCTCAGGCGATATGTGATTTGACTATTTCTTTACCTCCTGCTTTAGCCTAATTTGTATTTTAGAGAGCCCTCTTTATTACCTGATTGGTTGGGTGTGAGCTGAGTTACAAGCCCCGTGTTCAAAAGTAGGTGTGATCAGCTTTCCCAGCTAGGCTTAGGAATTCTTAGTCGGCCTAGGAATTCCAGCTAGTCCTGTCGCTCCACAGGGTTTTGCCATGTTGGCCAGTCTGGTCTTGAACTTCTAACCTCAGGTGGTCTGCCTGCCTTGGCCTCCCAAAGTGTTGGGATTACAGGTGTGAGCCACTGCACTCAGGTTTTTTTTTTTCTCCTTTAGGTTTCCTTTAGGGCAGTCATGACATATATGGGACATGCCACAACTCTCAACAAGCCAAGGAGAAAGGCTAATCAATCCTAGCAGACTGTCCCATTCTTGCCCTAGAACATTGTCTAATTATGGAAATATGGTCTTCCCACCAGAATATGGATTCCTGAATGAGAGAAAAACTTTCTTCCCTGTTGATGTATCCCTATTACTTATCACAGAAATTCTCAACATAAAAGATTTTTTTTTTTTTTTGAGATGGAGTCTCGCTCTGTCGCCCAGGCTGGAGTGCAATGGCGTGATCTTGGCTTACTGCAACTTCCACCTTCCGGGTTTCAGCGATTCTCCTGCCTCAGCCTTCAGAGTAGCTGGGATTACAGGTGCCTGCCACCAGGCCTGGCTAATTTTTTTTGTATTTTTAGTAGAGACGGGGTTTTACTATGTTGGCCAGGCTGGTCTCGAACTCCTGACCTTGTGATCCACCCGCCTCGGCCTCCGAAAGTGCTGGGATTACACGCCCGGCCACCACGCCCGGCCAACATAAAAGATTTTTTAAATATCAATTTAAAAAATGCCATGCTAAATTTATTAGATGCTGTTGTGAGTGCTTTTATATATGTTAATACAGATACAGCAATATATAGTAGAGAATGCCCAGGTGGAGAGTCAAGAAAACTGTGTCCCCATTCAGTCTGTTGGTAACCAAATATGACATTGGCTAAATCAGTTTCCTCATCTGCTGGATAGGAAGATACCTAAGGTCTCTCCCAGCTCCAAAATTCCATGAACTTTGACCCTTGCAGTGATAAATGCAGTTTCTGATGAAACATTTGTTGAGAAGAGGAATTGAGTCAATCATTAGCTTAATCTACACTCGCCTTTAAAAAATAAGTTTCAGTTCTCTGTGCTGTAGGATAATGTTTGCAATTTATGAAATCATTAACGGTTGTTTACAGTTTAGAGTATAACAATACTCTTTGATGTTTCCTAATTATCATGCAAGTTTTCAAATGAGTTCTGAACCACTTTTCTGCCTAATTAAACCTCATTGAAAATTTTTTGAATTTTAAAGAAACATTTGATTTGCAAAAATAAGTCATATATTCAGTAACTTTTGGTATTTCACAAAGGACCCATAAAACATTTTAACACACGATAAGGTACTGTGAATAAGATATGCCTTGAACTAAATAGGAGAAAATTTGGAAAGTATAATTTTTCAGACTACTCTTTTTGCTCACAAATTCCTGCTGATAGCTTTTTTTCCTGCTATTTTTAACAGCCATTTGCTCTCCTATTTGAAAGTCTATGAAATATCTATAAACCCTAAAAATTAATTAAATTGCTTAGGAAATTGCGAATAAATCATTATGTGGTAATGTCAACTAGTCAAAGTCACCCTAAAAAGTGGTAAATTAAAAATAGAGATGTGTTTTTATACAAGGACAAAGTTAATTCAACATTTATCTCTTCTTACTTATAGCCATTTATTTGAGGATGTGTACTCTGGATAATGTCTTAAAGTTGGTAAGCCTGACTTATACATCATTGGTATACGTAAATTCATGGAAATATACTCTTCACTTCTAAGAATTTATCCTACAGATTTAATTACATAAGTGTGCAAAAGTAGGTGCTCATTTAAACATTATTTATATTAACAAAACACTGAAAATAACTTCTATACACATAAATGGAGCAGGGAATAGACAGATTAAATTAAGGTGCATTCATACAAAACAATAAAATGGAAATGTTAAAAAGATTTATGTACTAATGGAAAATTGTAACTGTCCAACAGGTTCTCCAGTTTGTAACCCCACAACAGGGTCTCTTGCCCACTGCCCAGACAGAGCCGATTTATCAAGACAGGGCAATTGCAATAGAGAAAGAGTTTAATTCACGCAGAGGGGGCTATACGGGAGACTAGAGCTTTATTATTACTCAAATCAGTCTCCCTGAGAATTTGGGGATCAGAGTTTTTCAGGATAATGTGGTAGGTAGGGAGCCGGTGAGTTGGGAGTGCTGATTGGTTGGCACTGAGATGAAATCACAGGGAGAGGAAGCTGCTCTCTTCTGCTGAGTCAGTTCCTGGTGGAAGCCTCGGGACTGGTTGGCAGGTCCATGTGGGGTTGTCCAGTAGTCAGAAATGCAAAAACCTGAAAAGACATCTCGAAAGGCCAATCTTAGGATCTACAATAGCGATGTTATTTTCCAGAGTAATTGGGGAAGTTGCAAATCTTATAACCTCCAAATAATGGCTGGTAATGATTTAGAATTCAGGCCCCTCTCATGCTAACTTGGTGATCTTTTGTTAGTTTTACAAGCACAGTTTAGTTTGAGGGAAGGGCTATTATTTAAACTATAAACTAAATTTCTCCTAAAGTTAGGTTGGCTCATGCCCAGCAATGAGCAAAGACAGGAAACTTGTGAGGCTTGAGACAAGATGGAGTCAGCCATGTCAGATTTCTTTTACTGTTATAATTTCCTCAGTTATAATTTCTGCAAAAGTAGTTTCAAAATAATCTCTAAAATATTTTACCAAGTGTTTACCATAGTGCAAACACTATGTTCCCATTGTAAACAAATGGCTTTTACCTGAATGCGTACATTATCTCTGTAAGGCTATGCAAGGTATCCATAGTGATAGTCACCTCATTTAAATAATTTTTATTTAATATATTTTATCTTTTGAGCAGTTTAGGATTCAAAGCAAAATTGAGAGGAAAGTACAGAGATTTCCCATTTACTCCCTGCCTCTCATACATGCATAACATCCCTATTATAATATCCCCACCAGAGTGGTACATTTGTTACAACTGCTGAGCCTACATTAATATCATTATCACCCAAAGTCAATAGTTTACATTAGGGTTCATTCTTGGTATTATATATTCTATGGGTTTGTACATATTAATAATGACATGTATCCACCATTATTGCATTGTACACAGTATTTTCACTGTCCTAAAAATTCTCTGTGCCCACCTGTTCATCTCTCCCTATCCTCCTGGCCCGTGACAATCACTCATCTTTTAACTGTCTTCATAGTTTTGCATTTTTGAGAATGACATATAGTTGGAATTATATAGTATGTAGGCTTTTCAGATTGACTTCTTTCACTTAGAAATATGCATTTAAGTTTCCTCTGTGTCTTTTCAAGGCTCGATAGCACATTACTTTTTAGCACTGAATAATATTCCATTGTCTAAATGTACCATAGTTTATTCTTTCACCTACTGAAGGGCATCTTGGTTGCTTTCAAGTTTTTACAATTATGAATAAAGTGGCTATAAACATCTGTGTGCAGATTTTTGCATGGACATAGGTTTTCAACTCCTTGGTAAATACCATTGAGTGTGATTGCTGGATCATATGGTAAACCATAGGGTGTTTAGTTTTATAACAACCTGTCTTCCAAAGTGGCCATAACCATCTTGCATTCTTTATTTTATTTATTTTTTGGAGACAGAGTCTTACTCTTACTCTTTTTTTTTTTTTTTTGAGATGGAGTCTCGCTCTGTCACCAGGCTAGAATACAGTGGCATGATCTTGGCTCACTGCAACCTCCGCCTCCAGGGTTCAAGTGAATCTCCTGCCTCAGCCTCCCAAGTAGCTGGGACTACAGGCACACGCTGCTATGCCTGGCTAATTTTTTGTATGTTAGTAGAGACAGGGTTTCACCATGTTGCCCAGGCTGGTCTCGAACTCCTGAGCTCAGGCAATCTGCCCACCTTGGCCTCCCAAAGTGCTAGGATAGCAGGTGTGAGCCACTGCGCCCAGCCAGCCTAACCATCTTGCATTCTAACGAGCAATGAGTAAGAGTTCCTGTTGCTCCATATCCTCACCAGCATTTGGTTTTCAGTGTTTTCAATTTTGACCATTCTAATAGGTGTGTAGTGATATCTCATTGTTGTTGTAATTTGTATTTCCTTGATGACATGATGTGGAAAATCTTTTCATATGCTTATTTGCTATCTGTATTTCATCTTTGGTGAGATGAAGGGTCTGTTATGGCCTTTGACCCATTTTTTAGTCCATTTGTTTATGTTATTACTGATGAATTTCAAGAGTTCTTCATATGTTTTAGATAACAGTTCTTTATATGTCTTTCACAAATATTTTCTCCTACTCTATAACTTGTCTTTTCATTCTCTTGACAGTGTCTTTGCAAGCAGAAATTTTTAAAATTTTAATAAAATTCAGCTTCTCTATTCTTTCTTTTATGGATCATGCTTTTGGTGTTGCATCAAAAAAGTCATCACCAAATCCAAGGAGATCTAGATTTTCTCCTAGGTTATCTTCTAGGAGTCTTATAGTTTTACATTTTACATTTAGATCTGTGATCCATTTTGCGTTAAGTCTTGTGAAGGCTGTATCTAGATTCAATTTTTCATGTATATGTCCATTTGTTCCAGCATCATTTGTTAAAAGACTATCTTTGCTGCATTGTATTGCTTTTACTCCTTTGTCCAAGATCAGTTGACTATAGTTATGTGGGTTTTTCTTCTGGGCTCTCTATCCTGTTCCATTTTGTCTATTATTTTGTCAATACCACACTGTCTGGATTACCGTAGCTTTATAGTAAGTGTTGAAGCCAGTGTCAGTCTTTCAATTTTGCTGCTCTTCAATTTTGTGGCTATTTGGTCTTTTGCTGCTCTACATAAACTTTAGAATTGGTTTGTTAATATCCACAAAATAACCTCCTGGGATTTTAATTGAGATTGTACTGAATCTGTAGATCAAATTGGAAAGAACTGATATTTTCATAATCATTTAGTTTGTTACTAGTAGTAATTATTTAGTTTGTTAATATCCACAAAATAACTTGCTAGGATTTTAATTGAGATTGTATTGAATCTATAGATCAAATGGGAAAGAACTGATATTTTAGTAATACTGAGTCTTCCTATCCATGAACATGGAATATCTTTGCAATTATTTAGTTCTTCTTTGTTTTCATCAGAATTTTGTAGTTCTCTCATCTGTATCTTGTAAATATTATATTAGATTTATATGTAAATAATTCACTTCTGGGGTGCTAATGTATATGGTATTGTGTTTTTAATTTCAGTTTCTATTTGTTCACTGCTGTTATAACATAGCAATCGAATTTTTTTGTATTAATGTTGCATCCTGTAACCTGGTTATAATGGCTTATTAGTTCCAGGAGGTTGTAGGTTGATTCCTTTGGATTTTCTATATGAACAAATCATGTCACCTGTGAAGAAAGAATTTTTATAATTTTCTCTTCAATCTTTGTACTTTTCCACATCTTATTGCATTAGCTAATACTTCTAGTACGATGTTAAAAAGCAGTGGTGAGGCGGGAACATTTTGATCTTAGTGGGAAAGCATTGAGTTTCTCACCATTAAGTATAATGTTAGCTGTAGGGTTTTTTTTATTTTTTAATAAGGTTTTTTACAGATTGTCTGTATCAAGTTGAGGAAGTCCTCCTCTATTCCTAGTTTATTGAATATTTTTGTTATGAATGGGTGTTGAAGTTTGTCAGATGCTTCTTTTGCATCTATTGATATAATCATGTAATTTTTGCCTGTTGATATTTTGGATTATATTAATTGATTTTTGAAAGTTGATCCAGAATTATGTGCCTGGGATAAATCCCACTTGGTCAGGATACATAATTTTTTTATACATTGTTGGATTAAATTTACTATTTTGTTGAGGATTTTGCATCTATTTTCATGAGAGATATCGATCTGTAGTTTTTTGTTTTTGTAATATCTATGTCTGGTTTTGGTTTAGGGCAAACCTGGCCTCATAGAAAGAGTTTGGAAGTATTGCCTCTGCTATTATCTTCTGAAAAAGATTGTCCAAAGTTGGTATAAATTCTTTCTTAAATGTTTTATGGAATTCACCAAAGAACCCATCTGAGACTAGTGCTTTCTGTTTTGGAACATTATTAATTATTAATTTAATTTTTAAAATAAATATCAGCCTATTCAGATTTTATATTTCTTCTTATGTGAGTTTTGGCAGATTGTATCATTCAGGGACTTGGTTTATTTCTTCTAGGTTTTGTGGGCATAGTTGTTTATGGTATTTCTTTATTATCTGTTTAATGTCCATGGAATCTGTAGTGATATCCCCTCTATGAATTACAGTAATTTCTGTCATCTGTTTTTTTTTTCTTAACTTGGGTAGAGGCTTACTAATTTGATATTAGTTACTTGTATTCTGTCTTATTTTTGTTGTTTGTTTGTTTGTTTTTTAGTTAGCCTGGTGAGAGGCTATTTGATTTTATCATCTTTTCAAAGCAAAAGCTTTGGTTTTCTTGGTTTTCTCTATTAATTTCCTGTTCTCAAGTTTATCAATTTTTGCTCTAATTTTTATTCTTCTGCTTACATTGGAATTAATTTGCTCCTCCTTTTCTTTTTTTTCCCACACAATATTACACATAAAGGGTTAATATTATTATTATTTTTTAACATCTTTATGTAAATCTTTATGTGGATCAGCTCTGTGTTTAGCATACATAGATCAAATATTTACAAGTATTTAAATTTTTTTATTATACTTTAAGTTCTAGGGTACATGTGCACACGTGCAGGTTTGTTACATAGGTATACATGTGCCATACTGGTTTGCTGCACCCATCAACTCATCATTTACATTAGGTGATTCTCCTAATGCTATCCCTCCCCCAGCCCCCCATCTCCTGACAGGCCCTGGTGTGTGATGTTCCCCACCCTGTGTCCAAGTGTTCTCATTGTTCAATTCCCACCTATGAGTGAGAACATGCGGTGTTTGGTTTTCTGTCCTTGTGATAGTTTGCTGAGAATGATGGTTTCCAGCTTCATCCATGTCCCTGCAAAGGATATGAACTCATCCTTTTTTATGGCTGCATAGTATTCCATGGTGTATATATTCCACATTTCCTTTTCCAGTTTCCTAAGGTAGAAGCTTGAGCGACTGATGTTAGATCTTCCTTCTTTTCTAATATATGCATTCAATGCTATAAATTTTCCTCTAAGTACTACTTTCACTGCATGCACAAAATTTTGATAATTTGTGTTTTCATTTTCATTTGGTTCAAAGTATTTTTAAACTTTCTCTTGAGTTTTCTTTGACTCGTGTTATTTAGAGTTATGTTGCTTAACTCCAAGTATTTAGGGATTTTTCAGCTTTCTGTTATTAATTTATCATTTAATTCCATTTTGGTATGAGAGCAGACATTGTATGATTTCCATCCTTTTAAATTTGTTAAGATGTGTTTTATGGTCCAGAGTATGGCCTATTTTGGTGAATGTTCCATGTGAGCTTGCAAAAAGTACATTTTGCTGTTGTTGGATGAAATAGCCTATAGATGTTCATTATATGCACTTGATTGATTGTGTTGTTGAATTCAACTATGTTCTTAACTGATTTTCTGCCTGTTGGATCTGTCCATTTCTGATAGAGGAGTGTGGAAGTCTCCAATGATAACAGTGGATTTATCCACTTCTTGCAGTTCTATCGGTTTTTGATGCAAGTATTTTGATGCAATGTTGTCAGGCACATACACATTAAAGATTATTATGTCTTCTTGGAGAATTGACTTCTATAACGTTATGTAATGACCCTCTTTATTCTCGATAGATTTCTGTGACTTGAAGTTTACTCTATCTGAAAGTAATGGAGCTACTCTGCTTTCTTTGGATTACTGTTAGAATGATACATCTTTCTCCATCCATTTTCTTTTAATCTATATGTGTCTTTATATTTAACATGAGTTTATTTATTTTTGTATTTATTATCTTATTTTTAACATTCAAAAAAATTTCAGCCAGGCGCAGTGGCTCATGCCTGTAATCCCAACACTTTGGGAGGCTGAGGCAGGCGGATCACAAGGTCAGGAGATTGAGACCATCCTGGCTAACACGGTGAAACCCTGTCTCTACTAAAACATACAGAAAATTAGCCCTGTGTGGTGGCAGTCACTTATAGTCCCAGCTACTTGGGAGGCTGAGGCAGGAGAATGGCCTGAACCTGGGAGGTGGAGCTTGCAGTGAGCCGAGATCGCGCCACTGCACTCCCGCCTGGGTGACAGAGCGAGACTCTGGGAAAAATAATAATAATAATAATAATTCAACAGCTTTTGGGATACACATGGTTTTTGATTACATAAATAAATTGTGTAGTTGTGAAGTCTGAGATTTTAGTGCACCTATCACCCAAGTAGTGTACATCGTACCCCATATGTTGTTTTCTTATCCCTCACGCCCCTGCCACCCTCTCCTCTTCTGAATCTTCAATGACCATTATACCACTCTGTATACCTTTTTGTACCCATAGCTCAGCTCTTACTTAAAACTGGGAACATATAGTATTTGGTTTTTCATTCCTGAGTTACATCACTTAGCATATGACCTCCAGCTCTATCCAAGTTGCTCCAAAGACATTATTTTGTTCTTTTTATGGCTGAGTATTATTCTATGGTGATGCATATACACCACATTTTCTTTATCTACTCATCAGTTGATGTGCACTCAGGTTGGTTCTAAATTTTTGCAATTGTGAATTGTCTGTGTTAAATATACATATGCAGGTGTCTTTTTGATGTAATGAGTCCTATTCCTTTGTTTGGATACCCAGTAATGGGATTGCTGGATTGAATGGTAGATCTACTTTTAGTTTCTTTGAGAAATCTTCGTACTGTTTTCCATAGACGTTGTACTAATTTGCATTCCCACTAACAGTGTATAGGTGTTCCCTTTTCACTGCCTTCATGCCAACATCTATCATAACTTAATAAAGTGAGTTTCTTGTAGACAACATATAGTCGAATCTTGTTTCTTGATTCACTTTGACAATCTCTGTCTTTTAATTAGTATATTCAGGCGATTAATGTTTGAAGTGATTATTGATATAGTTGAATTAATATCCACCATATTTGTTAGTATTTCCTATATGTTGGCTTTGTTCTTTGTTTCTATTTTGTCTTCCACTCTTCTTCTGCCTTTTATGGTTTTAATTGAGCATTTTGTATAATCCCACTTTCTTTCCTTTATTAGCATATTAGTTATACTTCTTTTTTTTTTTTAACTTTTTTTAGTGGTTGCCCTCAAGTCTGTAATATGAATTTACAACTAAATGTGTATTTATATCTCCAAGCCTACTTTCAAATAACACTCTACAGCTTCTCTGATTGTGTAAGTGCTTTATAATAACAAAATAATCCTAATTCTTTCCTCCCTTCCCTTGTATCATTGCTGTCATTCATTTTGCTTTTACATGAGTATAATAAAGATATGTGTATATATATGCAGAAGTATACATAATTGAAGACATTTTTGCTATTATTATTTGAGAAAATTCTTATCTGTTAGATCAATTAAAAATAAGAAAAATAAAAGTTTTTATTTTACCTTCACTTGTTTCTTTTCCAATGCTTTTTTTCTTTGTGTAGATCGAGTTTCTGACATTTATCATTTTCTTCCTTCCTTCCTTCCTTCCTTCTTTCCTTCTTTCTTAAATTGAGACAGAATCTCACTATGTTGCCCAGGCTAGTCTTGAACTCCTGAGCTGAAGCAATTCTCCTACCTCAGCCCCACGAAGTACTGGGATAACAGGTGTGAGCCACCATGCCAAGCCTGTTTTATTTTTAAGAATTACTGTTGGGCCAGGCACAGTGGCTCATGCCTGTAATCCCAGCACTTTGGGAGGCTGAGGCGGGTGGGTCACGTGGTCAGGAGATCAAGACCCTTCTGGCTAACATGGTGAAACCCTGTCTCTACTAAAAACACAAAAAGTTAGCAACACTTGGTGGCAGGCACCTGTAGTCCCAGCTATTCAGGAGGCCGAGGCAGGAGAATGGTGCGAACCCAGGAGGCAGAGCTTGCAGTGAGCTGAGATCATGCCACTGCACTCCAGCCTGGGCGACAGAGGTAGACTCTGTCTCAAAAAAAAAAAAAAAAAGAATTACTTTTGGCCGGGTGTGGTGGCCATGCCTGTAATCCTAGCACTCTGAGAGGCTGAGGCAGGTGGATCACCTGAGGTCAAGAGTTTGACACCAGCCTGGCTAACGTGGTGAAACCCCATCTCTACTAAAAAAAATACACAAAAAAATTAGCCGGGCATGGTGGCCCACACGTGTAATCCCAGCTACTTGGGAGGCTGAGGCAGGAGAATCACTTGAACCTGGGAGCCAGAGGTTGCAGTGAGCTGAGATGGCCCCACTGTACTCCTAGGCAACAGAGTGAGACTGTCTCAAAAAACAAAAAAAAAAGAATTACTTTTAGCATTTCTTGCAAAGCAGATCTACTGGCAATAAATTCCCTCTGTTTTTGATTGTTTGAGAAAGTCTTTATTTCCCCCTTCACTTCTGGAGAATAATTTCACAGAATACAGTTGGTAGTTTTTTCTCTCAACATTTTAAATATCTACCTTCACTCTCTTCTGTTTTTTTTTTTTTTTTTGGTATTTGAGGAAAAGTTGGATGGAATTCTATTTTCTCCTCCATAAGTAATGATTTTCCCTTGTGCTTCTTTCTTTCAGTATTTTTTCTTTATCTTTGATTTTCTGTAGTTTAAAATGATGTGCCTATTTGTTTTTTTTTTTTGTTTGTTTTGTATTTTTCTTTCCTTTTTCTTTTGCATTTATTCTACTTGGTGTTCCCTGGGCTTCCAGATTTGTGGTTTTGTATCTGATATTAATTTGGGGGAAATTCTTAGTCGTCTGTTCTTCTGTTTTTTCTTTCTTCTCCCTGTAATCCCATTAGATGTATTTACACCTCTTATAGTTGTCCCACAGTTCTTGGATATTTTATTTTGGGTTTTTTTTTCCAGTATGTTTTCTGTTTGCTTTTATGTTTTGGAGGTCTATTGAGATATCCTCAAGTGCAGAGATTCTTTCCTCAGCTGTGTTCATTCTACTAATCAGTCCACCAAAGGTATTCTTCATTTCAGTTACAGTGTTTTTATTCTCTAGTATTTCTTTTTGATTTCCTTCACAGCATTGCTGTCTCTGCTTACACAATCCATCTGTTCTTGTTCTTGTATACTGTTTACTTTGTCCGTTAGAGTCCTTAGCATATTAATCCCTGCTGTTTTGAATTCCTGGTCTGATACTTCCAACATCCTTGCCATATCTGAGTCTGGCTCTGATACTTTCTCTGTCCTTTTTTTTTTTTTTTTTGCTTTTTAGTATGTTTTGTAATTATTTCTTGATAGCTGTACATAATGTATTGAATAAAAGGAATTTCTGTAAATAGGCCTCTAGTAACATGGTGCTAAGGTCTTGGAGGAAGGGAGGCATTGTATAGTCAGTCCCATGATTAAATCTCAGCCCTCTGAATTATGAACTTCACACATGCCTCTTAGCCCCCACCAGTGATGCTCCCCAGCCCAGATCAGTTAGGCTCTGATAAAAACCCCAGCAAGTTAGGCTCTGGTTAAATGGTTTCTCCTGAGGGCAGGGCTTTTTTTTTTTTTTTTAGATAGGGTTTTACTCTGTTGCCCAGGCTGGAGTGTAGTAGTGCAATTATGGCTCACTGCAACCTTGACCTCCTGGGCTCAAATGATATTCTCACCTCAGCCTTCCAAGTTACTGGGACTACAGGTGCTTGTCACCATGTGCAACTAATTTTTTATTTTTTGTAGAGATGAGATCTTTCTCTATTGCCCAAGCTGGTCTTGATCTCCTAGGCTCAAGCAATCCTCCCACCTTGGCCTTCCAAAGTGCTGGAATTATAGATGTGAGCCACTGCGACTGGCCAGATAGGTCTTATTGAGAACAGAACACAATGACTTATTCCACAGTGGTTTATTGTCCCCTGCTCTTGCCAGAAACATAAATGGATTTTTCTTTACTATTCATTATGAAAACTTAATAGAGCTCCAAGAGATAAAACTTACAAAAGTTCAAGTGCCCTCTGATGATTGAATCCCTCTGGAGTCTTTATCTCTCAGATATGTCCACACTAAGCCTCCAGCAATTTGCCAATTAAAGTTTAGATTTTTCTACCATGGTGCCGGTTCCCATGGAAGTTTCAGCTCATGAGTTTCTCCTCCAGTAAGTTGTGATTTTCTGTTTTACCTGTTGGTTTCTCCAACTTGAGAGGCAGTGGTTCTCCCTGTGACCTCATTTTCTTATAGATCTAAGAATTGTTGATTTTTCAATTTGTTCATATTTTTGTTTGCTGTTATTAGAAAAGCAATTTTCAAGCTTCTTACATGCTGGACTGAAAACTGACTTGCTTCATTTTCAAAATTATGAGTACAGATTGCTATTTCAATAAGTAATTAATTTTTAAAATTTGACTGTTTCTCATTAGATCATATTATCAATAAGTATTTCTGGAGCCTTAATTGGTGTACCAGATAATATGGTTTGAAAGACTTGATTTTTATCACCAAAGACCTTATAATCTGGTTTAGGAATGATTGATTTATCCTAAGCGTTAGATTCTAATATAAATTTAGTGCATTAAAATGCTTAGGAAACTCTGATTTGCATTTTAGTCAGTAAAAATATATCACCCACATGAAAAGATATTGCATTTAAGTACTTTTATTGTACTTTAAATAATAGAACAAAGATTTTTACCTGTAAGCAAATTGTAATATAAGATCATTAAGTTATGAAAATAACTCAGTATCATGACATCATGTACCATTTGTAATAAATAAGTACATAATAGAACAGGAGTAGCAGTGTTTGACAAGGAGATAATATACATGGTAATTGATTGATGTCTAGATAGAATAAGTATTTCAGCCAAGTAAAACAAAATAGCCACACTTAGCTAACTTGTCAGTCAGAAAGTTTGGAAACCTTGGTTAAAGTGATATTTTATGGCTTTTTCAGATACATGCCAATTTACAAGTAAATTTCAGTCATTGGTTGTTCTGGATTATAATTTTACATATTTTAACTTTCCTCTGGTTTTATTTATTTATTTATTTATTTATTTTTAGATGGAGTCTCTCTCTGTCGCCCCTGCGGAAGTGCAGTGGCGCCATCTTGGCTCACTGCAAGCTCCGCCTGCCGGGTTCACGCCATTCTCCTGCCTCAGCCTCCCGAGTAGCTGGGACTACATGCATCCGCCACCACGCCCGGCTAATTTTTTGCATTTTTTTTAGTAGAGACAGGGTTTCACAGTGTTAGCCAGGATGGTCTCGATCTCCTGACCTCGTGATCTGCCCGCCTTGGCCTCCCAAAGTGCCGGGATTACAGGCGTGAGCCACCGCACTTGGCCTAACCTTTCCTGTTTTTATTGATGACATATAAGGGACTATTATTACAAATAAAAGACATAAGAAAGATACAAATCAGGCCAAGAGTGGTGGCTCACGCCTTAATCCCAGCACTTTGGGAGGCTGAGGCGGGTGGATCACCTGAAGTCAGGAGTTCGAGACCAGTCTGACCAACATGGTGAAACCCTGTCACTACTAAAAATGCAAAAATTAGCTGGGCGTGGTGGCAGGCGCCTGTAATCCCAGCTAATCGGGAGGCTGAGGCAGGAGAATCCCTTGAACCAGGGAGGCAGAGGTTGCAGTGAGTCAAGATTGTGCCATTGTATTCCAGCCTGAGTGACAGAGTGAGACCCTGTCTCAAAATAGTAATAATAATAATAATAAAATAGAAAAAAGAGAAAAAGAAATATACAAATCAAAATGTAGAAACTATCCCCAAGGAAACCAAAAAAAAATTTAAATTCAGAATTTGGGAAAAGTAATGACTCTGGAATGGTAAATGTAGATTATGTCTTATATTTATCAAGGCAATTATATTTTTTATTATTTTAAATTTTTTTATTTGAAAATTTATTTTTATTTTTGTTATTTTTTTTTTAGATAGTCTTGCTCAGTTGCCCAGGCTAGAGTGCAGTGGTGTGATCATGGCTCACTGCAGCCTTGAACTCCTGGGCTCAAGTTATCCTCCCACCTCAGCTTCCTTAGTTGCTGGGACTACAAGTGCAGGCCATGCCTGGCTTCTATGGTATATTTTTTATTATGATTAAAATATTTAAAAATAATAGCGCCTCCATATGTGTGTACATACTCATAGATATTATTTGCTATTGGTAGAAGTCATTGTGGTTAGCACCCCAACATCTATTTCATCCTAGATCATTAATCTAAGTCAATCATGAAAATTCCATCCCCTTTACCAGTGATTGGTTCAGAAATGGGCATGTGACATAATTCTACTTGATGAGGTATAAAGGGCTATCTGCTGGAATACATCAGGGAGTTTCCCTGCTCCTAAGAGAAAATTGAAGAAAAGATGCTTTTTCTTCTTGAGTTTGCTATTTCTTGTCTGAATATGAGTTCTAGAACTGATGCATCTCTTGTTATCAGCAAGAAGCTGATCTCAAGAGTGAATGGTGGAAAAATGGAGTCTTTGATAAATGTCATTGGGCTGCTGAATCAATCTAACTTGAAGACTGTTGCATTCTTACTCTATAATAGGGCAGGGTAGGTTATGTTTATTCTGCTAAATAACAAACACTCCCTATATCTCAGTAGCTTAAACTAACAAAAGACGTAATTTTTGCTCATACTACATGTCCATCATGGGTCAGCAGGGACCTGTTTTCAATGTCTTCTTTACTGAGGGATGCAAGCTGATGGCTCCTCCTTCATTTGAAATGTTCCCTTTTGGATACTGTGGCAAGCAAATGGGAACATGATAAATTGTGCATCAGCCTGTAAAGGCTTCTACCTGGAAGCGATGAACATTACTTTTGCTTACATTTCATCATGCAAAGCAATTAATATAGCTATCTCTAACCTAAAAGGGGTGGGGAGGAGCATTTTTGCCATGTGTGTGGAAGGGAAGAAGCAGTCAATGTATATCAAAAGGACCACAAATAAAGATATAAAGAACTAAAAGAAACATAGTTAATAGGATAGATAAGGTATATATACACATGTATTTCTCAAAATTTGTACTCCAAAAATATAAAATATATCTTTTTAGTTGCTTTCTCCATATATACAAAAAAGTAACTGTTATGTCAGTTAAAAAACTCAATAAACTCCAAAATGTAGAAATAATACAACCAACATTATGTAATACAATGACTAAAATTATAAAGTACAAATTAATTCATGAAAAAATTTAAGTTCACTTTTAAACAACTGGGTTAACAAAGAAAGACAAACTAGTATCACAGAACTTCTATAAAAGAACAATAAGGGGAATAGTAAATATCCATATATATGGAATAGAACTAAAGCAACATTTAGAGGAAAATTCAATAGCTCTAAATAATTTTCTTAGAATTCAAAAAGTGAAAAACTAATAAAGTTTTAGCATCTGGATGAAAAAGATTAAAATTAAGCAAAGCAAATGGAAGAATTTAATAACAAAATAGTGATTTACAACATAGAAATATAATGCTAATAACTAAATATAAAACGTTCCTTAAAACAACAATAAAATAGATAAAACACTAAGTCAACTAATCAAAAAAGCAACAAAAAACCCAAATAAATAAAAGAAGAAATGATCATAGGGAAATAAAGACAGAAACAGGAAATTAAAAGAATCATGAGAACTTCACTCAGCTCTGTGAAAATATATTTGGCAATCTGAATGAGAAGAGTAACTTTTTGTTTTTTCTTTTTTTGAGACAGGGTTTGGCTTTGTTACCCAGGCTGGAGTGCAGTGGCTCAATCTTGGCTCACTGCACCCTCCACCTCCTGGGCTCAAGCGATCCTCCCACCTCAGCCTCCCAAGTAGCTGAGACCACAGGCACCAGCCACCGTGTCTGGCTAATTTTTGTATTTTCCATAGAGACGGGATTTTGTATGTTGCCCAGGCTTGTCTCCAACTCCTAGATCAAGTGATCCTCCCGCCTTGGCCTCGCAAAGTGTTGGGATCACAGGTATAGCCATGGCATCTGGCCAACGATAACTTTTAGCTAGGAAAATATAACATATCCACACTGAAATCAGAAAAGATATAGACAAATCTAAACAAAATGATCCCCTTAGAAGAAACAGAGAAAATTAATAAAGAAAAGCTTTAGGCCCATTTGTTTCTATGGAAAGTTATACCAAGTCTTCAAAGGGAAGACAATATTAGTGCTATTTAGACAGCCCACAGCATTTAAAAAAGTACTATTCCAAATTATTTTTATTGGCATGAAGATGACATTGATTCCAAATTCTGACATATTGTTTTAAAGAAAAGACCTACAGATCAATTTGACGTGTAGATATTGATACTAAACTCCTAAATAAGTTCTAGGAACAAATTTTAAGATTCAAGTGTCATTAGCAGGGGAATTCATTTCATGAATCAATGACACTTCTATATTAAAAAATTATTAAATTGGAAGAACTAATGAGAAAAATCACACCATCATCTCCATAAATGCTGAACAGGCACCTGCCAAAACTCAGCAATCATTTTTGACAAAACACTCAATTAAATAGCAATATATGAATACTTTTTTTAACCATGATATAAATGTATATTTCAGCCCAAAAGCCAGCATCATGATTAAGGGGAAACATTCCACTGAAGTCAGGAAGAACTGATCTCCATCACTATTCTAGTGTAACTTTGTAATGGAGGTAATAGTGCAATCAAATAGGACAGTTGAAAATTTGGAAAGGAAGAGATGAAACATCCATCAACACAAAAACTGATAAATCTTGGAATATCTGTTCAAATGAATACTATATGGCAGTAAATATAGAGGGATTACTGCTGCATACATTTATATGGCTGAATCTCAAAACTACAAGGTTGTACAACAGCAACAATAAGTAATATATAGAAAAATGCATATGGTATTATTCTATTTATATAAGTATCTAAACAAATGAAACTATAGTGTTAGGTAGTAAAAGCATGTAGTTCTGCAAAGGAATAGTTAGCTCAAATTTCAGCATAGTAGTTACTTCCAGGGGCAGTGATGGGGAGGAGATTTATATGGAGCCCTCAGGATCTTCTAGGGGTACTGATAATATTATATTTCTTAAGCTGGGTGATGGATGCACAGGTCTTTATTTTATTGTTATTCTTTAAGCTACACATTGATAATACATTCTTTTTTGCCCCCTAGGATTGTGGATTTCTTATTTCATGAGCTGGACACAATTTCTCATGACATTATGCACCTGGCTCCAATGCTGCTATTATTATAATGTACTCTTTATGTATGATATTTTCACAATTAAACAAAATCATTTTTGATATTTTTGCTTGTGATTAAAATAGAACTTATATTGATCATGTGTGTGTTTGGTGGTTTAGTATTTCGACATCTCAAATGTCAAAATAATGAAGAAATCGTCACATGTGTACTTTGAATATGCCTGGAAGACATGCCGACATCAACATAAAAGGATTTTTTTCTTTTTTTGAGACAGGGTCTTACTCTGTCACCCAGGCTGGAGTGCAGTGGCACAATCCCAAATCATTGCAACGTCTGCCTCTCAGACTCGAGCGATTCTCCTGCCTCAGCCTCCTTAGTAGCTGGGACTACAGGTGTGCACCACCATGCCCGGCTAATTTTTGTACTTTTTGTAGAGACAGGGTTTCATCATGTTGCCCAGGCTGCTCTCAAACTCCTGGACTCAAGCAATCTGCCTGCCTTGGCCTCCCAAAATGCTGGAAGAACTCTCTTTCAAAAAAATAAAAATACCACTAACACATCTATAAAAGTAATAATTCATCCAGTCAATTGCCAAAGTTCTAATTTTCTCTTAAATGTAATAAATACGCTTTAAAAAAGTAATGTTAAATAAGAATCTAAGTAGAATTTTACATATTGCAATTGATTGGCATATCTTTTAAATCTCTTTCTCTTTTTTTTTTTTTTTTTTTTTGAGACAGAGTCTTGCTCTGTTGCCCAGGTTGGAATGTAGTGGCATGATTGTGGCTCACTGCAGCTTTGACCTTCTGGGCTCAGGTGATCTGTGCATACCACCATGCCCTGCTACTGTTTTGTATTTATTTGTAGAGAGAGGTTTTCACTATGCTGCCCAGGCTGATCTTGAACTCCTGAGCTCAAGTGATCCACCTGCCTTGGCCTCCCAAAGTGCTGGGATTACAGGCATGAGCCATGGGGCCTGGCCTAAATCTCTTTTAATCTATATATTCCCCTTTCATCTTTATTTAAATTGCAATTTATTTATTTAAGACACACGGAGTGTTTTTTTTTTTAGACTTGCCCACAGTCTGGTTTTGTTGATAACATCCCCATGGTATTATTTAACATGTTTCTCTGTCCTTTGCAGTTTCAGTAAATTAGCAGGTTAATCTAGAAAATTTGCTTTCAAGAGATGATCATGGAGTGTAGCCTCAGCACTCCCACTTGTTAGAAATGAAACTGACTAGACTTTACCCTAAACCTATTTAATCAGAAACTCTGGACTTGCAGTCCAGCAGTCTGATTTAACAAGCCTTTTGGGTTCTCCTAATCCCACTGATGTTTGCAAATGACTGACCTAGGTCTTTGGTCCATTTTAGGTTTGATTTGTTGGCAAGACTACTTCATAGTAATGGTGTATTCTTTTAAAAGGCATATAGTATCTGATTATCTTTTATTTTATAACCAGCCATGCTCAGCACTTAGATCCATGAGGGTATAGTAGAAATTGCAAAATGGAGATAGCGTATTGTCCCTTCTTCACTTATTACCTGAAACACAGAGTGTTACAGCTCTTATGGAATTTGTCTAGCAGGTTTTTTGGTCTTCACAGGAAACTTCCCCTTCCCCAACAAAACAAGAGAGAAATAGTCCTCATTTACTATTTAATAACCCAGTGTCCTTAAACAATCTTAAACATGCTGAGAAGTTTAAAGAATAGTACAATGAAAACCCATATACTAGAATTGGTTCATGGTTCTACCGGCTATATACAAAGCCTAGTGTCAGCAACTGCCTCTGGTGAGGGGCTCAGGAAGCTTACAATGCTGGCAGAAGGTGAAGAGAGCCAGCACATCACATGGCAGGAGCAGGAGAGACAGAGAGGGAGAGGGAGAGAGAGAGAGAGAGAGAGAGAGAGAGAGAGAGAGAAATATTTTCTTAAACAACCAGGTCTCACACAAACTCAGAGAACTTATTCATTATCATGAGAATGGCACTAAGGCATTAATGAGGGATTCGCACCTGTGATCCAACACCTCCCACTAGGCCCCGCCTCTAACATGGGAGATTATAGTTTAATATGAGATTTGGAGGGAACAAACATCCAACCCATATCACATTGCATATGGTTGTCATGTCTCTTTAGTTTCCTTTAATCTAGAATAGTTCCCTCTCCTGTTTATCTTTCATGGCATTAACATTTTTCAAGAGTTAGAGCAATATGTTTCAGAGAATGTTCCACAATCTGGATTTGATTGTTTTCTTGTGCTAATATTTAGGTTAAACATTTTTGGGAAAATACAATATAGATTATGTTATATACTTCCAATACCATCACATCAAGAGTCATATCATGACAATGTGTTCCATTACTGGGGATCCTATATTTGATCACTTGGTTAAAGTGATAACTGCTAGATTCTTCTATTGTGAAAAAAGAAAAGTTTATTTTATGAACCTGATTTTATGTAGTTTAATTAACACCATGTAAGGAAAAATTTGAAGTGACTTGTTACTATCATAAAATAGATTTAAAATCCAGTTATAATTTTCCAAATAGCATTATTCTACACAGAACCTACCTTATTCTATTTTTTCCAAGTCATCACAAAATTCACTCTGGAGATCTTTTCTTGGCAAAAATGCCTCAGCTGAAATTTTTGTTCTTGTTCGTTTTTGTCCATTAAATACATGCTTAATAATGTAAACATTTACAGTCTCTTTTTAAGAAACTTTGCAAGAAGATTAAATTATTTCAGGCTCTCAAGATGAAAGAGATAAAAGGAATTTTACCTATGTGCTCACAGAATATATATATATGTATGTGTGTGTGTGTGTGTATATATATATATATATATATACAGCAACTACTGATATATATATACACACACACACACACACACACACACACACACACACACATATATATAAGATTTTCAGCCTTTGGAGAAAATAACTTTACTCTCCTTGAATTCTCGGTATCAAAACCAGAATTCTTTCCTTCATTCTGTATATGTTTCAAGTAATTTTTGTTATGACTAGAAAGGAAGACTAGTTGCGTGTATATTGTTATAGTTGTACAGTGAAATGATTCTCATATTCTACTTGGAGTTTTGGAAAATATCTCTATTCATGTATTACTTTGATATTTGAGTGCCCTTCTTTGGCTACTTTATTAATCACATCATTTCAGATGTAATTTTGTTTTGATTTCCAATTCTGCCTTACTTTTTCCTTAGTTGTTTTTCCTTACTCGTCTTTCTCTTTTCAGTCCTTCCTTGAGTGCTCTGTGTGTGCACATGAGTGCACATGCTAGTGAAGAGAATGACTGCTTTCCAATTGAATTACCTTCCAGGAGTATTTAGAACTAATAATACATTCATATATGTGGTAACCTTAGTTTACAAATATTTCTGTTAATAATGATATGCTACAAGATATGAGACTGGTTTCTTACCATCCTTAATAATACAAACTAATTATTAGTCAATTAGGCTAATTAATTTTATAGGCTTAATGTAAGCAGAAATTATATGTATCACTAACCTCACCTCACCCTTTTGTGTCATGGACAGTCCTTGACTATAGCTGAGTGCCTTCAAGAACACTGGAGCCACATCTTCTAATTAGGAACCTTTTCTTCCCAGGTGCTTCTGATCTCTTGTCTCTCTGTTCCCTACCACTATACCACTCCATCCCGTGGTCTTTTGGGTTTTTTGCAAGTCTGTAGCCACACATTTGATATTACAAGCACAATTATTTTTTATTGAAGGATACCAGATCATTCCTTTCAAATAGAGTGTGTTATTTGGCTCACAGTTCTATTTTTCATGCCCCATCACACTTCGCTACACGGCAATGGGAAAGGAAATGTAGCAGGAAATGATTTGGGCCAAAACTACTGTGGGACAGCCATGAGAGGCCTGAGAAGCAGTTCTCTGGGAGGTAGGGCCAAGTGTCGAGTGTCAGTGTCTTGGCTGTCTGACAGGGCATGAAAGGGGATCCCAGGCTTAACCTGATTGGGGCTGGGGGGCTGTGAGACCTTGCTGATCTAGGAGCCTCAGCACCCTAGCGGGGATCTATCACCAGGCTGAAGGCAGGCGTGCACAGTCAGGCTTCTGATGCCCCTGAGACCATCTAATTCTCAGAAGCCACTCCCTCAGATCCCACAGAGTGGTTGGCCTGCCCTCCTCTAGCAACCCTTGTGGTGGTCTTGAGCTACGTATAACTCCAGAGTGTTTGCTCAGCTGCTGTGGGACTCCTTGCCCAAGAGACCTAGCCCTGTGAAAAAACTGTGTGACAGTTTGAACCAATAAAACATCTTGGTTCTCCATGGCAGAAAAGAAACTTGGATTCTATGAATGTGAATAGCATACCTTTTTCTTTTCTAGGCTGGTAAATATGCTACTGTATAAACTGACTTACTTTTCATCGCTCAAAGATGAATGCCGATCATCCAAATTATATCTTTAAAAGAGCCATAGATCTTTAAAAGTATTTCATTCTTAGCTGCCTTCAAACTTTTTAGAGAACTGTCTTTCATAATGCACTACAAAAATAAAAACAGTCACCACTGTCTCCTGGCTTACACCAACACATTGTTGTCTTTTTATGTTTTCTTTTTGGTCAAAGTCTCTACTTAACCAAAAAAAAGAAAAGTTTTTATTTTTGTTCAGAACAAAAATCCAGTGTCAACAAAAACAGAACACAAAAGAACACATTCCTTTATATTTTGAAGTTTGGTCACTGCTGCAGAAAGAACAGCCTGATATTGGTGTATCAACACAATGGCAAATAAGATGTTAAAAAACCTAGACCTTTATTATGAATCCTTGACATCTTTTATCGAACAGGAGAATCATACATACAGTACAAGGAAATCTTCAGATTCATTAATTCCCTCAATAGAACCTAAAAAAAATGAGAATTGTATTACATTTTATCAATAGCTTACCCACTACATATGACGGCATAAAAATAGTCACTATGCCATCATTTTTTGAAAAAGAGAGGCAAATGTATATGGCGAAGAGGTAAGAGGATTTATGGATCACATTTTAAACACAAAGTGATAAAATTATCAGCTTGTGGTCTATTTTTAAGCTCATAAGTGGAATTTAGGTTGTTACTAGGGAACAGATATTGAGCACAGGTGAGCCACCTTTACCTTGGGTTCCTAAATGGCCACCATGCAGCAGAGGTACCATCTGGCAACATGTATCTCAGGCTGGGACATGACCAAAAAGTCAATTTATTTGTTTCTTTAAGCCTGTAAGCTTTGGTTGTGGGAGATCCTCTTTGATGCAGCAGTTTAGCCTTACCCCGATGAACATATCTGTGTACATGTGCCTTCACTATGCAGGACACAAACTGATTGAATAATAACATTACAATCGCATCTTGCAACAGGCATATTTTATGTTTTTTAAGAGACAGTTTCATGGTGTTCCCGCTTTTGTATGTTGAAAGAATCTCAACTAGGAAGTAATTCCTCCACAAAAAAATGGAAATTTAGATCTTTGTTTCTCACATTGCAGATGATAGTCCTGATAAGGCTGAAGACTCAGCTCAGGCTAGATATACTGGGATCTATGATAGAAATGTGTTATCACAAAGAATAAGTGGCTTGAAGAATCATTCTAGGTGTCGCAAGATCCTGAAAGCGGAGGAAATAAAAGCAGTAATCAGAATGCACTGTGGAATATATTCTGTATAGTTCAGTAAAATTTATATTCTTCAGTTCTCTTTGGAGAATGAGTTTGGTCATTCTTTTTTTTTTTTTTTTTTTTTTTTTTTTTTTTTTTTTTTTACAGGGTCTCACTCTGTCACCCAGCCTGGTGTGCAGTGGCATGATCTCAGCTCACTGCAGCCTCAACCTTCCCTACTGAAGTGATCCTCTCACCTCAGCTTCCTGAGTAGTTGGGATCACAGGCACATGCCACTACACCCAGCTAATTTTTTTGTAGAATTTTTTGTAGAGATGGGGTTCTGCCCTATTGCTCAGGCTGGTCTCAAATTGCTGGGCTCAAGTGATCTGCCTGCCTCAGCCTCTCAAAGTGTTGGGATTACAGGTGTGAGCCACAGCACCTGGCTGGTCATTCTTCAAAAATCACTTTGTTGTCTTCATAAAGCTTATGTACTGCAAAAAATATATATTATACTTTTGGCTCCTAAATTATTCTATTATCATAAAGAGTCTAATGACAAGTGTAAGAAAAACAGCAGTATCTCTTAAGGATTTCCCTTTTAACCTGGTTTATTTTATATGAAGCATATTCCAGTGAATCTCAGAATCATTACTGTTTTAGGTGCAGAAAAGATGAGAAAATCTGGGGCACTACCTTCCCCACTTTTCAATTTATAGGTAAAGAACCTAAGGCAGAGAGAGAGGGGGCAATTTGCCCGAGTCTCCTAGTTCACCATCTGAACCTAGTTTCTCATCCATTTAGAGCACAGATGAGAAACACCTTAGTGTGTGTTACTGGGGCAGGATTTATGCACAGATAAAATAGGTAGCTGTCAATGTGGCACCATATGAAGTGTTCTTGGAAGAGCCAATATTCTCCTGCCATTTTGCCAGGAGGGCTGAAGTAGCTGCTCCTAATGAAAGACACACACACCACGTGGGAAGTATCACATTAAGTAGTAACCCGCTGATAACATGACCACATACACAAAGTTTTAAGGTTGGCTTTTTAATGCTGAGAAAGAATATAAGATAGGAGCCTGGGCACGGTGGCTCATGCCTGTAATCCCAGCACTTTGGGAGACCGAGGTGGGTGGATCATGAGGTCAGGAACTTGAGACCAGCCTGGCCAATATGGTGAAACCCCGTCTCTACTAAAAATACAAAAATTAGCTGGGTGTGGTGGCATGCACCTGTAGCCCCAGCTACGCGGGAGGCTGAGGCAGAAGAATCGCTTGAACCTGGGAGGTGGAGGTTGCAGTGAGCCGAGATCACACCACTGCACTCCAGCCTGGGTGACAGAGTGAGACTCTGTCTGAAAAAAAAAAAAAAAAAAAAAAAAAAAAAAAAGAATGTAAGATAGGAAAGATAAGCTGTGATGGTGAAGAGGCAATGGTAGCAAATGCTCAGTGTCTGCAGTAAGGATGAGAGAATCTTCAAAACTAATTATGTAAAATGTACAAGATTCTCTGAGGGCCTTGGGCCCCTGGAAATTGATACCCCCTCAAAATAGAGCAGCACTAATAAAAGGAGGTTTGAATGGCAGCAAATATGAAATATGTCACTTGTATAATTTTGCTTAGAAACAGGTTTTTATATAAACAAAAGACGATTAGAGTTGTGTAAATGTGCTTTCTGCACTTCTCATTGGACATAACATAAAGAGAAGGTGTGGAATTAACCATGGTTTATGGCACTAGTGAATCCAATTTATTCACTTTCATAAGACTTAAAAGTTCATGAATGTTTTCAAATAATTCTTTCAATAATCTTTGAGAAAAGTATTGTAATTGTAATTATAATTATTCATATTGCATTTATTCATTTATTTGTTAAACCAGCTAATATTTTTTGAACACCTTTCATGTGCCAGGCTAGAGATACCTGATGAACAAAAGAAACAGTAATCTCTGTCCTTGGAGACCACAGAGGTATGGGGACCTTCTTATATATAACTTTGGAGGATATTCAGCTACCTAGGACTCAAAAAATATCAGGGCATTTGAAAAAAGAGGTTGAGAGGAGACTTTCTTTTAGAAGACCACATGAAGTCTAGTTGGGAACATATATCATTCAAGTACATATCTGGAAAGTTTCATAGTTTGAGAAAGTGGATGTAGGAAATGCCAGCGAGACTGAGGTCTTGAATTCAATTCTGTCCAAACTAAGATTATTACCCTTGAAACAGATTTGTTGCAATATGGCTTAATTCATATGCCCATGCTAATAATCTGATCGCTCCCTATTTCTATTTTATTATTATTACCAAACTTATGTTACCATTCAGGAGCTAGTGTTACATTATAGGATCATTTGTAAAGCCAAACTGAAGGTTTTCAGACACAGGAGACCTAGGAATGTGAAAAGCCAACCCAAGTCTCCTGGAAGCAAGAAAAACCCACAACTGAGCTAAACTTTGCAAAAGCCAGCAAGCTGAGCAGGCATGTCATATCGGGGAGCAAGCCAAACACATTTCCCAGATCTGCAAAGAAACCAGTGATCATCCATCAGCAGAGAGAGAGAGTCTTTGGTTAAATGGGATGGCGAGCAAGCCATCAGAAGCTCCTCAGCCCAGCAAGATCTCAAACAAAAGAACAGCATCTCTAACTATACAGCCCAGCAAGATCTCAAACAAAGGAACAGCATCTCTAGCTATACAGCCTAAGTTCCTGTGTGACTTATTTACTGAATAAAATGCATTTCCTAGGGTAGTCCACTTTAATAATATAGTTTAACAACAGCAGGCTTCTGTTTTTGACCAAGGCTCAGTTATTCCTAGTCACTGAAATTAGATTTAACTGCAGCACCTGAGAGGCTCAAAGAATTAATAAGAATGCCTCAGTGACAGTTACAGATTGACAAGGGTCAGGTGGCCACACACAAACATTTAATCAAAGATTTTTGAAGAGTCTTTTGTCTTGCTTTCTTCTTCATTCTCCTCATTTGGTTCAAGAGTTGGTGCGTATATGTGTTAGTCTGTGTGTGTCTGTATGTGCGTGTGTGTCTGTGTGTGTGTGTGAGACAGAGAGAGAGAGAGAGAGAGACAGAGGCACATGTGCTATGAATACCTTTGTAGTCTTATGACATCTATTGAAATCTCAGAATAATCTAAGTTTGTTAAATAAAATATCATTACAAAGGTAACCAAATATGATGAAATATAGTTATCAAAATACTAAAATAAAAGCAAATCCATGATGATGGTGTTGTATGTGATTCTTCATTAGTATATTACACAACAAGATCTAGGGTAGATCTACAAATTGCCCATTTCAAAGTGATGATGAGCATAGAAGACATTTTGAGACACTGCAACACTGTAGTATAATATGAAAATATTTGTAATTTCTATGGGTGATATTTACAGGTATTCCCAATAGTACTGTGGTCTATGACTGATGTTCATAAATAAGGAGATGCTAAATTTCTATTAGAGGTTAGTAAAATAAAGATATAGTATTTATTTTCTATGTTTAAATATAGAGATGTATGAAGAGATATGTAAATTATGTTCTATAAATTCAAGTAAGACACTTTTTTTCCCATTCATATTCATAGAATCCTGAATTCTATTCCAGACTCCAGGTTTAGAACCATTGATTAATTAGCCAAGTCTTTTCTTTGTCTTAAACTAGAGTTTGCAAACTAGTAGAATGTGGGCCAAACTGGTCCTCAGAGGTGTTTGATAGGAGTTGCCAGTGTTAAAGTTTTCGATTATTTGTATATAAATAACCAGATTTGCAGCTCCTCTTGAAAAATGGAAATACGTAACAACACTGGGCTAAATATTACATGGCTAAAACTGGCTGGAGCTCAGTTGCAGCTTCCTCACGTATACAGGGCATGGGCCCTCCTCCTGCCCTAGGTCCCAGCTGGCTCACTTCACTCACAGATACCACCTCTGTGGCCATTTCAGATTTCTGTCCTCCAAAAATCGTAAGATAATAAATTTGTGTTTTTGGCCGGGCACAGTGGCTCATGCCTATAATCCCAGCATTTTTGTAGGCCGAGGCTGGTGGATCACGTGAGCCCAGGAGTTTAAGACTGGCCCAGGCAACAGCCTGAAATCCCATCTCTACAAAAAATACAAAAATTAGCTGAGCATGGTAGCACATACCTATGGTTACAGCTACTCAAGAGGCTGAGGTGGGAGCTTTGCCTGTGCCTGGGAGGCCGAGGCTGCAGTGAGCCATGATCATGCCACTGCACTCAAGCCTGGGCAACAGAACAACATTTAAAAAAAAAATTGTGCTGTTTTAAGGTGCTAAATTTTGGTAACTTGTTGCAGCAGCAGTTAGAGACTAATACAAGTACCAACTATGGCAGGCACTGTTATAGAAAGCATCTTGAAGTTATCTATTCAGGACGTTTTCCAACGTAAGACTATAAACTTCCTGTGGCCAAGTACTGTGTCTTATTCAGTTATAAATTCAGTACCTACAAGTGCCTAGTACAAAAGAAGAAATCAAAAAACACTTGTGGAATTCAACTGAATTCGTATTTATTTATTTATTTATTTATTTTTCTTGAGATGGAGTCTCACTCTGTTGCCTAGGCTGGAGTGCAGTGGTGCGATCTCAGCTCATTGCAGCCTCCGCCTCCTGGGTTCAAGCTATTCTCCTGCCTCAGCCTCCTGAGTACCTGGGATTACAGGCGCTTTTATACACCCAGCTAATTTTTGTATTTTTAGCAGAGACGGGGTTTCACTGTGTCAGTCAGGCTGGTTTCGAACTCCTGACCTCATGATCCACCCGCCTTGGCCTCCCAAAGTGCAGGGATTACAGGCATGAGCCACAGTGCCTGGCCTTGAATTAGTATTTCTTAAACCCTATGTCTCTTAGTCTGCATGATGATAGTGGTGGACAGTGATTTAACTCTGTTTTGTTCTTGGCTTTCTGGCAACATAACTGTGATCACAATCAGACAGTCTTAGAGATGGATGGAACCTCAAAATATGGAGTACTTTAAGGAGTTGCTTTGAACCTATTCTGATTGAGTGGGGGTTACCTAATAAATTTACAAACATTAAAAAACCCATGAAACTATTTCATGCAACAATTTGCTTTAGAAGTTACCTGCATTTTACTATTACTTTGGGATAGTCACTGTTCCATTTGTCAATCATTTTATTTGATAAAGAAATATTTCTTATCTAGAGCCAAAAATTTGCTTGTCATTTTTTTTCAAGCTCCTAGTTAAGCTAATTTAAACTTAGCTTAGTTGAGCTAAGCTAGAGCTACTAAGAATAAATCTTGCTTATAGATGATAGCTTTTGGATATGTGGAGGTAGCTATCAAGAAGACTCCCATTACCACCCCTACTCCTGCTCAAGTTTCTAAAAAATAGGGCCGGTGCGGTGGCTCACACTTGTAATCCCAGAACTTTGGGAGGCTGAGGTGGGTGGATCACCTGAGGTTAGGAGTTTGAGGCCAGCCTGTCCGACATGGTGAAATCCCGTCTCTACTAAAAATAGAAAAATTATCTGGGTGTGGTGGTGCATGCCTATAGTCCCAGCTACCTGGGAGGCTGAGTCAGGAGACTCGCTTAAATCTGGGAGGCAGAGGTTGCAGTGAGCCAAGATCGTGCCACTGCACTCCAGTCTGGGGTACAGAGTGAGACCCTGTCTCAAAAAAAAAAAAAAGTTTCTAAAAAATAACCTGGGCATATAATCCAAATATCTCTACCTATTTCTTATAGGAATCCCTTGGCATTATGGTCTCTTGATTAATAATCCTCTTAAGATGCATTGCCTAGCATGAAACACAGTTTCCAGATGTTATCTAAACAGCACAGAGAACAGGCTATGATTGCCCTTGATCAGCACATGACATTCTGTAACTTATATTAATTTTGTAGGAGAAGGGAACAGCCTATTAATTCATATTTAGCCTGTAGTGCTAACTTTTTAAAGACATGTTTTAATTTATATGTTAAATTGGGCTTTCCAAGTGCTATAGTTGTACCATTGATTATTTGAGTCCAAAAGCACAAAATTCACTTATCCCTTTTCAATATCATCATATTTGTATTTTGACTTTCAGCCTAATGAACTCATTTACAATTGTGATTTGGTCACATAAAGTATCAACAGTTTCCTCTCCATTAAACTCAACAAACATTTATTGAACAATTGCTAAGTGCCTAGCATTGCACTAAATGAATTGGGTCATTTGCACAACTAACAGCATATGTTGCTATCTAAGTGACTATAAATTTGAGGAACAGGAAAGGGTTAAAATTAGAACCCTTCCCACAATATGACAGCAATCCATTAATCAACACCTTGTGGATACTGTCAGATTTGAATCATGCTAACCATACAACCTTATCCAGTCCTCATTTCCTCACCTTGTTCCTTATCCTGAAACTTTGCCAAACACTTTGTTGAAATCCAGATGCTAGTATATAATATTGCTATTACTCAATATATGGCGTCATATGTTTTAACAAGGAAATGAGTGTAGATTTGGTACTTGTATGCCTCATAGCACCTAGACTTGAGCAATATATTAGATCAGAAGCATCCTTTCTCTTTCCCTATCTGCTTCTTAGAATCGTTTTCAAACAAATAGAATAATAGTAAATGAAGTCTGAAAATATCAGAAAATAAAATCCAATTTGACTGGGAAGTCCAGGTTTCCTTAGAAAGGGAGAGTCTGGGGTGGTGAAACTGGTAACAGAAATAAAATGGTTGCTAGAAAGCGATATCTAAGTGGTGTTTCTGGAAAAGGTAAGTGAAGAAGAGGCATTTATAGTTTAGGTTTGTAATTTTCCAAGCAATCCCAGAGGGTTTAAGCAGAGGGCAGGCAATGTGGAAGGCCTTGGATGGAGTTGTCTTAGCAACGAAGCCCTTTTCCTTCCTGACTCAGCCAGGCAGGGAAGTGAGAGCAGCTTTGAGGAATGTGCTGAACTTTGCAAGAAGTTGGTTTCCAGCTCTCAGGAAAGTTAAATTAAAATTTCCTCAATGTATGTGATATTCTTGTTCCTCAGGCTTATGGTTTAAAAAATTGGCTCAAGCAATGTTCTGACAAACAAGGGGTGGCGAGAGACTTTGACGATATAACCAGGCAGTTTGAACGTAGGTTCTTTCTCCAGCTCTTCAGAACAAGCCTTAGTTATACACTCGGCTAGGGGACCCCACCATGCTTTGGCCACCAACTGGTCACTTGGAATGTGGACTGGTCTTTCTGCCTTCAATCTGCCTACATATTACTCATCTCTTTTTCTTCCAGCTGCCAGAGGGATTTTTCTAAAGTGAAAGTCTGCTCTTTGTATAAAATGCTTGGGTGACTTCCGTTGTCTTTAGGATAAGAGCTAAACTTCATGTGGTATATGAGTCGTTAGAAGATGTGGCTCATACATCATTATGGTCACTCCTCTCTGTTAACCCTTCTGTACTGCAGCCCTTCACAACTACTGGCATTTCTTGATTCCATTAAATTCCCTGTTGCCCCCTTTACTTGCTGCTGTCTGTGCTTGGAATATCCTCCCTATACCTCCTTCTCTATGTGGCCTCCCTGTATCTTATCTTTTAGATCTCAAGGTCATCATCCACTTCTCCAAAACCCTTCCACAACCCCCTCTTTCTTTCCCACCATTGAGGGAATAGTAGCCACATATAATATTATTTTTGTTATAATGATGCTTTTAAAAGATAAAGCCCTTGTTTGAATGTGTGGAGTATTCCTCAGAATTCATAAATTATCTATCCATCATAACAATTATTACTAATGAAAAGCTAATTTAACATCCACAGTTAATTGGCTAAGTCAGATTTCTTCTGTGGTCAGATTGCAAGTTAATCAGAAGCACTCACATCTCCAGGAGCTCTGTGTTGATTCTTCCATTAAAATTGGGCTAGGACCTTGATCTTTCCACTTCCATCTTCTCCAGTCCCTGTCCCCCGATTCAAAATCCACTTAAATGGGTATTTTTCACAAGCTTTCCATGTTCCTTTCAGTCAGAACTAACTCTAATCATCAATGTTCACCTTAGCTTATCCATATTTTTATTTAGGAAAACTCAGCATGTTTTTGTTTCCTCGAATCTATCCACTAAAAAGAAGACTCCTTAAGGAAAGGGCTCAGCTTAGCACTTAGCATTGGCTTAAAGCATTTGACCCAGGTTAAACTGGATGAACAAAAATATCATTTATATTTATTCAGGAACCTTACAGAAGTCTACAAAATAGCTTGTTTTGGATGTTACAGCTTACACTAGCTATTGGCTAGAGTTGTGATCTGTAAGTATGGTGCACATAGACCAACTCCTTTTTTTTTCTTAAATAATGATGCTTTGCTTATTTGTCTCTATTATCATTCCTGCCACACCCAACTACTTTATGTACCTTAGTTCTACTCTGTTTTTCTTTTTTTTTTTTTTTTTTTTGAGACACTGTTACTCTGTCACCCAGGCTGGAGTGCAGTGGTGAGATATTGGCTCACTACAACCTCCGCCTCCTGGTTTCAAGTGATTCTCCTGCCTCAGCCTCCTGAATAGCTGGGACTACAGGCATATGTCACCACATCCGGCTAATTTTTGTATTTTTGGTAGACAGGGGATTTCACCATGTTGGCCAGGCTTGTCTCAAGCTTCTGAGCTCGAGTGATCTGCCCTCCATGGCCTCCTAAAGTGCTGGGATAACAGGTGTGAGCCACCACGCTCAGACTACCCTGTTCTTTATGCAGTTTTCTCTTTTGGAATGCTCTTTCTTACTCCGTCTTTGTCAAATTTCTTTGTAGTTTCAAGGGTCATGTTAAATGCTATCTTCCATGAGGACATCCTGGTTTACTAATCTGAGTAGGATTTCTCTGTTTTCACCCCTCTCTCACAATGTCATTTGTTTATACTGCTGTAGGGCACATACCTTTTTCTGTTATTTGCTTTTATTATTTCTGTATGCCATTCCCTTCCAAATAAATGGGAACTGCCTTCAAAGCAGGATCTTATCTTACTTATTGTATCTGCTATGGCTCCTAAAACAGAGCCTGCTACAGAGTGGGTGGCCAATAAATATTTGTTGAATAAATGAAAACAAGAGGTACTCAATAAGCATCTTTTATAGTGAACTAATCACAAAATTTTCCAGTCATTGAAGAATCTAGATATTTTTTGAGACTTCATAGGACCCACATGAGTGCTGCAAATTTTGATCAACTTCTTGAGATCTTTTTCCTTTTGGAAGTCTCTTCTGAGGCAGTCAGTCCCCAGTAAGGAGAATGAATGACACTGACTGAGAGCAGCAGGCAGAGCATCAGATTGGGGAACAGTACACCTCTCCACCATCCTCTCTCAGATCACTCCTAAGAATAGGCAGGCCAGCTGAGTTAACTTGATGGTCCAGGGAGAGATGTCATTTCTATGTCTCTCTTACTGAATGGGAACATTTGTTTCCTTTTAGCCTTCCCAACCCCTCTGTTCAGGGCGGAGCTTAAGCCGGGAAAGAGCCCTTGGATTTCTAGGAGCGTGGTTCTGAGAAGGAAAAAAACCTTTTAATGTGAAGAATGTGAGCCCTTTTAAATTATTAGGCCCAGAAAGGCGTTTAAAATGTAACAGCAGTTACATCTCACTCTCCCTTGAGCCAAATAATTATCTCTTGAAGATACTTATTATGTAGGCTCTAGACTGATGCTAAATAACTATAATGTCATATACCTTACAGTGTAAGAATATACATCCAATCACAAAGCAATGTTACTTCTGTTAACCAATGAGAATTCCTGATAACATTTCTAATTGTCCTTTTTTCTTTAAAAATTTAAGCCTCTATTTTGTTCTCGGGAGCACCCCCCTCAAGGAAACTTGGAAGTGTGTCCTGGGCTGCAGTCCTCAACTGTGGCCCAAACTCTCCGTATTAATTTTGCCTCAGCTTATTCCTTTTAGGTCAACATTTCTGGTGCTGTTAGCAAGATTCACAACAAACCCATCCCGTCCTCTAACATTTTTCCCCAACTTGACCCCTGGTCAGGCTTCAAAACCTTTGTGTTCTTCCTATTCTGAGAGAAATTATTTGATGTAAAGTGGTGGATGTTACTAAAATTCCAGACCTAATTCTTCCACTCTTTGATTAAAGGTCTAGACTTTACTTGGGCTATTCTTTCAAACTCTCTCTAGAACAAAGATTTTTGGTATTTATCTTGTGGGTAAGAGATTTGGGTTGTAGGGAAAAAAACTGCCTTTTTTCTGCCTCTCCCTCAGGGCCAGAGATTCAGGTTAAGGATTTTTCCATCTCTGTCTCACAGCATAAGGTTCAAGTCAAAGGGCTGGCAGTTGGGCACCTGTGGTCTTGTTTTCCATAGCATACTTTAAAAATTACCACTGCACAGCCAATCACTAACCAATGTCATTTTTATAAACCAATAAAAAATTGTTTTTAATTTTTTAATATTTTTAGTTTTAGTTTTTGTGGGTACATAGTAGGTGTATACATTTGTGGGGAATATGGGATATTTTAATACAGGTAGGTATACAGTGTGTAATAATCATATCAGAGTAATTGAGGTATCCATCACCTCAAGCATTTATCCATTGTGTTACAAACAGTACAATTATACTCTTTTAGGTATTTTAGAATGTACAATTAAATTATTATTGACTATAATCAACCTGTTGTGGGGTCAAATATTAGATCTTGTCCATTCTTTCTATTTTTTATACCTATTAACCATTCCTTCTCTTCTGCCCCCCTCCCTCCCCATTCCGCCCCCGCCCCTGGCCCCACCCTGCTATCCTCTGGTAACTGTCTTATTCTCTATCTCCATGAGTTCAAGTGTTTTAATTTTTAGCTTCCACAGATAAGTGGGAACATGTGAAATTTGTTTTTCTGTGCCTGGCTTATTTAACTTAACATAGTGACCTACAGTTCCATCCATGTTGTTGAAAATGACAGGATCTCATTTTTTATGGCTGTTTAGTATTCCATTCTATATGTGTACCATATTTTCTTTATCCATTTGTCTGTTGGCAAACACTTGGGGTGCTTCCAAATCTTGGCTGTTGTGAATAGTGCTGCAATAAACTTGGGAGTGCAGATATCTTTTTGATATGCTAATTTCCTTTATTTTGCTTATATACCTAGTAGTGGGATTGGTGGATCACATGGTAGCTCTAATTTTAGTTTTTTGAGGAACCTCCGAACTGTTCTCTATAGTGGTTGTACTAATTTACATTCCCACCAAAAGCATATGAGGTTGCCCTTTTCTCCATGGCCTTGCCAGCATTTGTTATAGCCTGTCTTTTGGATAAAAGCCATTTTACTGGGATGAGATAATATCTCATTGTAGTTTTGATTTGCGTTTATCTGATGATCAATAATATGGAACATCTTTTCTTATATCTGCTTGCCATTTGTATGTCTTCTTTTGAGAAATGTCTATTCAGATCTTTTTCTAATTTTTAAATCAGATTATTAGATTTTTTTCCTGTAGAGTTGCTTGAGCTCCTTAAATATTCTGGTTATTAATCCCTTGCCAGATGGGTAGTTTGCAAATATTTTCTCCCATTCTGTGGGTTGTCTTTTCACTTTGTTGATTGTTTCCTTTGCTGTGCAGAACTTGATGGGATCCCATTTGTCCATTTTTGCTTTGGTTGCCTGTGTTTGTGGGGGTATTGCTCAAGAGATCTTTGCCCAGTCCAATGTCCTGGAGACTTTCTCCAGTCCCATGTCCTGCAGACTTTCACCAAAGTTTTCTTCCAGTAGTTTCATAGTTTGAGATCTTAAATTTAAGTCTTTAATCCATTTTGATTTGATCTGCCCACCTCAGCCTCCCAAAGTGCTGGGATTACAAGCATGAGAGCCACCATGCCCGGCCTTTCATTTGTAACTTGTACATGAGATTACTTTGTCATTTTCTTTTTCAGAAGCGTTTGCTGTTGGCATATAGAAATGCTATTGATTTTTGTATGTTTATTTGGTATCCTGCAACTTTACTGAATTTACCAGTTGTAATAGTTTTTTGGTAGAGTCTTCAAGTTTCTCCAAATATAAGATCATATCTTCTGCAATCAAGGATAATTTGATGTCTTCCTTTCAAATTTGGATGCACTTTATTTTTCTTTCTCTTGTCTGATTGCTCTAGATAGGACTTCCAGTAATATGTTGAATAATAGTGGTGAATGTGGGCATCCTTGTGTTGCAGATCTTTGAGGAAAGGCTTTCAGTTTTCCCCCATTCAATATAATACTAACTGTGGATATATCACATATGGCTTTTATTATATTGAGGTATGTTCCTTCTATCTCCAGTGTTTTGAGGGTTTTTATGATGAAGTGATGTTAAATTTTATAAAATGCTTTTTCAGCATCAATTGAAATGATCATATTGTCTAACATATGGCCTATCCTTGAGAATGATCTTTGTACTGAGAAGAATGTGTATTCTGCAGCCATTGGATGAAATGTTTGGTCAATATCTATTAGTTCCATTTGGTTTATGGTGTAGATTAAGTACAATGTTTATTGGTTGCTTTTCTGTCTGAATGATCTGTCCAATGCTAAAAGTAGGGTGTTGAAGTCTCCAGCTATAATTGTATTGGGGTCTCTCTCTTTAGCTCTAATAATATTTGCTCTATATATCTGGGTGCTCCCCTGTTGGGTGCATATATATTTACAATTGTTATATCCTCTTGCTGAATTGACCACTTTATCATTATATAATAACCTTCTTTGTCTCTTTGTGTAATTTTTGTCTTAAAATCTATTTTGTCTGATATAAGTATAGCTACCCCTGCTCCCTTTTGGTTTCCATTTGCATGGAATATCTTTTTCCATCTTTTTAGTTTCAGTCTATATGTGTCTTTTTAGGTGAAATATGTTTCTTGGGGGCAACAGATCATTGGGTCTTTTTTTTTAAAATCCATTCTGCCACTCTGTGTCTTTTAATTGGCCAGTTAGTCCATTTACATTCAATATTATTAATGATAAGTAAGAACTACTCCTGCCATTTTGTTATTTGTTTTCTGGTTATTTTGTGGTATTCTCTTTCTTCTTTCTTTTCTTCCTGTTTTCCTTTTAGTGAAGGTGATTTTCTGATCTGATTTTCTCAGGTGGTTGTTTAATTTCTTGCTTTTTGTTTTTGTGTATTTATTGCATGTTCTTTTTTATTTGAGGTTACCGTGAGGCTTGCAAATATTATCTTATCTCATTATTTTAAACTGATGAAAACTTAGCACTGATTGCATAAGCAAAGAAAAAACTAATAGTATCTCTACACTTTAACTTCATACCCCTGCTTTTTAACTTTTTGTTGTTTCTATTTGTATCTTATTGTATGGCCTATGTCTTAAAAAGTTGTAGTTATTATATGTTATTCATCTTTTCATCTTCTATTTCAAATATGAGTCATTTACACGCTGCAATCAGTGTTATACTATTCTTTGTTTTTCTGTGTACTTATTATTACCGGTGAATTTTTTTACCTTTGAATGATTCCTTATTGCTCATTAATGTCCTTTTTTTCAGATTAAAGAACTCAGTTTAGCATTTCTTGTAGGGCAGGTCTGGTGTTGATGAAATCCCTCAGCTTTTGTTTATCTGGGAAAGTCTTCTTTATTTCTGCTTCATTTTTGAAGGATATTTTCACTGGATACACTATTCTAGGATAAAAGCGTTTTTCCTTTAGCACTGTAAATATGTCATGCCACTCTCTCCTAGCCTATAAGGTTTCCACTGAAAAGTCTGCTGCCAGATGTATTGGAGCTCCATCGTGGGTTATTTGTTTCTTTTCTCTTGATTTTAGCATCCTTTCTTTATCCTTGGGCTTTGGGAGTTTAATGATTAAATGCCTTGAGGCAGTCTTCTTTGGATTAAATCTGCCTAGTGTTCTAAAACCTTCTTATACTTGAATATTAATATCTTTCTCTACGTTTGGGAAATTTTCTGTTATTATTACTTAGAATAGGCTTTCTACTTCTATCTCTCTCTCTACCTCCTTTTAAAGGCCAGTAACTCTTAGATTTGCCCCTTTGAGGCTGTTTTCCAGATCTTGCAGGTGTGCTTTATTCTTTTTCATTCTTTTTTCTTTTGTCTCCTCTGACTGTGAATTGTCAAATAGCCTGTCTTCAAGTTTACTAATTATTTCTTCTGCTTGATCAATTCTGCTATTAAGATACTCTAGGCTGGGCGTGGTGGCTCATGCCTGTAATCCTAGCACTTTTGGAGGCCGAGTTGGGTGGATCACCTGAGGTCAGGAGTTGGAGCCCAGCCTGGCCAACATGGTGAAACCCCATCTCTACTGAAGATACAAAAATTATTCAGGCATTGTGACACATGCCTGTAATCGCAGCTACTTTGGAGGCTGAGGCAGGAGAATCGCTTGAACCCGGGAGGTGGAGGTTGCAGTGAGCTGAGATCATGCCACTGCACTCCAGCCTGAGCAAAGAGTGAGACTCTGTCTCAAAAAACAAAAACAAACAAAAAAACCTCTGATGCATTCTTCTGCATTTTTCAACTCCAGAATTTCTGCTTGATTATTTTTAATAATTACAATTTCTATCTAAAATTTATCTGATAGGATTCTGAATTCCTTCTCTGTGTTATCTTGAAATTTTTGACTTTCCTCAAATATGAATTCCTCAAATTTTGAATTCTCTGTCTGAAAGGTCACATATCTCTTTCTCTCCAGGATTGGTTCCTGATGCCTTATTCAGTTTGTTTGGTGAGACCATGTTTTCCTGGATGGTCTTGAAGCTTGTGTGTATTCATCTGTGTTTGGCATTTAAGAGTTAGGTATTTATTGTAGCCTTTGCACTCTGGGCTTATTTGTACCTGTCCTTCTTGGGAAAGATTTCCAGATATTCTAAGAGACTTGGGTATTGCAATCTAAGTTTTTGCTCACTGCAACCATATCTGCATTAGGTGGCACCCCCAAGCACAGTAATGCTGTGGTTTTTGCAGACTCGTAGAGGTATCACCTTGGTGCTCTTGGATAATACCTGCAAGAATGTTACAGATTACCAGGCAGAGACTCTTGTTCTTTTCCCTTAGTTTCTCCCAAATGAACAAAGTCTCTCTCTCTTCTTTGAGCCACCTGGAGCTGGGGGTGGGGTGACACAAGCATTCCTGTGGCCACCAACACTGGGATTGCACTAGATTTGACCTGAAGCCAGAACAGCACTAGGCCTTGCCCAAGGCCCACTGTAACCACCACCTCGCTACTGCCTATGTTCGCTCAAGGCTCTAGGGCTCTATAATCAGCAGGTGGTGGAGCCAGTCAGGCTTATGTCCTTCCTTTAAGCATCCCAAGTTCCCCCAGACCTGGGATGGGTCCACAGATGCTGTCTAGAGGCCAGGGCCTGTAGTCAGAATCCTTAGAAGCCTACCTGGTGCTGTATTCTACTGCAGCTAAGCTGGGACCAAAACCACCAAAGTCTTTCCCATTCTTCTTTCCCCTGTCCCCAGGCAGAGGAGTCTATCCATGTTTCTACAACCACCACAGGCCCACGGGGAGTACTGTCAGGTTACCACCAATGTTCACTTAAGGACCAAGAGCTGTTTAGTCAGCTTGGGGTTAATGCTGCCAAGCCCAGGACTCACCCTTTAGGGAAGTGGGCTTACTTCTTGCCCAGGGATCCAGAGATCCATCCAAGAGCCAAGGCCTAGAGCTGGGGACCCCAAGAGCCCTCTTGATGCTCTTCACCGTGACTGAGCTTGTACCTAAGCTCAAGAAAAAGTCCCCCTTACTCTTCCCTCTTCTTTTCTCAAGCAGATGGGGTCTCTCCTCATAGCCACCACAGCCGTAAATGTGCTGGGTTACATGTGAAGCCAACATGTCTCAGAGTCTCACCCAAGGCCCATGGCATGTAATATCTGATTACCACTGCTGATTATTCAGGGTCCAAGGGCTCTTTACTCAGCAGGTGATGAATCCTGCCAGGACTGGGTCATTTCCTTCAAGGCAGTGGATTCCCTTCTGGCCCAGGGTGTATCTAGAAATTTCATCTGGGAGCTAGAGCCTGGAATGGGGGCCTTATGACTCTGCCCAGTGCTGTATGCTACTGTGGCTGAGCTTGGATCTAAGTTGTAAGATAAAGACCTCTTTGCCCTTCCTTCTCTTCTCCTGAAGCGGAAGGAAGGGATCTCTTTTTGAGCTGCAAGCTGCACTACCTGGGATCGGGGGAGGGGTGGCTCAAGTACTCCCTTAGCCACCCCGGCTGGTGTCTCACTAGGCTGCACACTCTCCAAGTCCACTGGCTCTGAGCCCAGCACAACACTAGGACTTGCCTAGGAGTTGTAGTCCTTGTGGCATAGATAGCTGTTCAGGTTTATTTAGTACCCCAGAGTACTTCAGCCCACAGTGGCAAGGCTTGCCGAAACTCAAGTTCCAGCCACTGGGATGGGTGATTCTTTTTTGGTTAAGGCTGGACCCAGTGCTTCCTCCATGGGTGCAGACTGAGTTCTGGCTGGCGTGGGCGGCACTGCATTCCAATGCAAAGTCCCACAATCACTGCATTCTCCCTCTCCCATGTATACAGATTCCCTCTCTATGTATCACATGGCTGCTGCTCAGGGGATGGAGGAGGGGTGGTGTCGACAATTCAAGATTATCTTTTCCACCCTCTTCAGTGCCTCTTTTAGCGATGTGAAGTTAAAACCAGGTACTGTGATTGCTCACCTGATTTTTGGTTCTTATGAGGGTGCTTTTCTGCATAAATAGTTGTTTAATTTGGTGTTCCTGTGGAGAGGACAACTGGTGGAGGCTTCTATTCAGCCATCTTGCCCTGCCTCGTCCCAATAAACATTTTTGACAAACAACTTTTGTAATCGCCCTTCTTCTGATTTGTCCTTTTTTCTTTAAAAGTGAACGTCTGTTTTATTTTCTGGAGGACTCCCCAAAGCAATTTGGAAGTGTGTCCAGGGCTGCAGTCTTCAACTTTAGCCTCAAAAAACTCTGTATTAATTTTGTCTCAGCTTCTTACTTTTAGGTTGACATTTCAGAAAAATGTTGCCTTGATTGGGTTTTTCCATAAAATAGTATGAACTGATATGATAGGGAAAAGGGGTGAAGAAAGTAATCATACAAGTGAAGGGAGATAATTAGGAATGTTGTCAGCAATATCAGAGTGAACTAGATCTTTGTAGAAATAGAGGATCTCAGGGCTCTGTCATTTGAACAAACTCTTTGTCTCAGGACCAGAATGTCTGCTCCTATGGAATGTGCACTTGCCTTAATTGCAAACTAAATTAAAGATGATTCTAGTAGTACTTTCCACTTTCTCTTTGTTTTTTCACTTCACTAAGTTGCCGTATCAGAAACGTACACTATACTCTAATGGAGCAAAGAAAACATTCCTGGCCCAGACCTCTTTCTTCAGCTGTGAGGGTTTCACAGCTGGGTTCACTTTATGATTGTTTGTTGTTGTTGTTGTTGTTTGGAATGGAGTCTTGCTATGTTGCCCAGGCCAGTCTCAAACTCTTGGACTCAAGTTATCCTCTCACCTTGGCCTCCCAAAGTGCTGCGATTACAGATGTGAGACACCATACAGGCTCACTTGTGATTCTTTACTCACCTGTATAGTTTGGGTTCATACACTTTTCTGTACTTATGTTATATTTCAATAATAAAGTAAAAAAAAACAATATTAGGCTGAGCAGTAGAAAGGTCAAAACTAAAGAGCTAAGTGTAGTGAGTTAGAAATTGGGGCCAAGTATTCTATTGTTATAGAATAGAGCACAAAGGAATAAATAGATGATAAATATACAAGATAAATTAAGAAACCTGAATGAAATGTCTGCATGTTTTGAAGTCTCTTTAATGATATGTGGTTACCTAAGGTGGGTCTGGAGGAATAAAATAGAGATAATGAAGCAGATCCTTAAATAAATAAAAGAAATAACACCTGAAGAATGAAATGAGCTCTCAGATTGAAAGTTAACACTATGTGCCAAACAGAATGAAACAACTTCACAAATGCACACAAATGTATGACATTTTGGCTCATTCAAGAAAAGAGAAAATTAAAAAGCTACTCTAGATAATTAAACTGAAAATCCACAGATTTTTCATCTGCAATAATGGATGAAAAAAGATAATCAAGCAAAATCTTCAATATTGAAGGAAAATAACTTTTGAGTTTAGAATAAAGATTTGGCCATAGGTGGTGAGGGTTTCAAGAATTTATGGTATAGACTACACCCCATAGTCCAGTCAAACAAGTATTCTCTGCTGCTGGTAGAGTCCTCTTTGATAGAGGTGTACATGTGATTCAGGGATGAGGCGAGACAAACTCAGTCACACATCCCATGACTTGGCCCCTACTTCCTTAGGCATCCTAGCAAACAGGCTGGCTCACCAGGGACACCTATGAGGTGGGTGTTGATTTTAATCTAAAAGACACAATCCTGAACACCAAAACCTTGAATGTTGAAATTCTGAAAAATAAACATCCCCAAACTATAATTCTGGAAAAAATTTAAAAAAAAATTAAAAAGATATTTATTTACATTCTTAAAATGGGATTTTTTTGAGAAACATGTAAAAACATGTCAGAACACTTCCTAGGCCACTTTACCCAGTAAAATGGGTAATAATAACATACATAATTTTGCAAGCATAAACACTCAGGTATATACCAATGACAGTTGCATGGGTATAACAGTTATGAGCAGATAAACTATATTCATAAATAGGTCAAAAAGGAAAATGTCTAAACACATATCACTATAGTGCTAGTTGTGTACACCCACTTTTATAACTGCAGTCATCTGAAATACCTTGATGAACAACCTAAGTGTTTTGATGAGATTGATCATAAATCATGATGTGTCACCACTGGTTATACAGTCATCCAAAGAGCTGAGATCTTGAGAAATTTTCTCTTTCACTGAAGATTTACAAAAAGAATAGTGCTTCATTTATTGAGGAAGTTTTAACATTTTCACATATACACACAGTGTTTACACACAAAGTCAACATTGTGATAATACACTTCCATGAAGTCAAATTTGCAAAAAAAAAATTGCATAAAACATTAGAATTCTCTATAAGTTTCTACATAATTCTTAGTTCCAATATTGGAAATAATGTGAAGATTAAATACAGAGCATTAGAAATTGTAAAAAGCAGTGTTGACAATTTAAAATAGTGAAAAAAACTAAAATAAAGAAAAAGAAAAAAACTAAGGAGAAAATATGACTTACGGAAAAAACACATTTCAAGGATAGATTTTGGGGAATTGGACAGTCCATAAGAGCTAGCCCTTCATGAGACAACCATTCTGTGATAGTGATTTCTTGGATTTAAGATATTAGGAAGTTTGGACTTCAGAGATTTTGATCTTTTGGGATTTCAACATTTGGGAGTATGCTGTTTGGAACTTTGTCTTTTGGGACACCAGAACTGGAAAGCAAACTTCCCCTAGATGGCTGCTGTCCAAGTTCCACATATTCTCACCAGCAAGGCCATTGCCCTGATGGGAAACTCCTATTGCTACAGGACTGGTTAAGTATTTCCGTTCTGCCCTAGCTTCCCCATAAATGCAAACGCAGTACAAGCACAAGCTCTCTGTCCCAGGGCACTATCCATGCTGCAGCCTGCTTTGTCTGTTTCAAGCACAACTCTCTGTAGAGACTAAGGGCATTCTGGAGAGCCTTTTGCACAAGTGCTCTCCAACCAACCATGCATAATCCATATCCCAAATTGATAGTGTCATTTGTCCCACCTTCTGGCCCAATAAAGGGTAAATCTTAGTTAGGCTACTCTAATTGTAGTAATCCCATTCCTTTTGACAGTAAGTGGTTATAGAAAGGGCTGGTTCACTTAGTCCTGACCAAATAGATGTGAGAAGTCTGCCCAGAGGCTTATGTGAAAGGTCTCCTTTTCTTTAAAGAGATCAAGAGAGGAAGAAGCAGAGTCTGCTTCCACTGGACATTGTCATGACTGACTGTGATTCCTGGGACTGTGACATCCATTGCCAAGAGAGGACTTAACCTCAGAACAGAATAGAAAAGTGGAGGATGGCAGGGTGGGATGATGAAAAGGACCTCTCCTTTACGTGATACCTTTGTGCATGGAGCTGCCTTTTAAAAAACATTTGAGTATGGATTTCTCTGTTACTTGCAACCAAAAGTTTTCTAATGGAAACACATAAGACTTAAAAAATTTACCATACCCAGACCTTCTCACAGAGAGTTTACTCCAGAAAGAAGAAAAATAAATTCAGTAATAAGAAATGGGATACAGGAACACTTGTGGGCAAAGAAATGAGTGAAACTTAGTGTTACGTATAAATAAGAATGAATGCTGGGAGTGGTGGCTCATACCTGTAATCCCAGCACTTTAGAAGGCTGAGGCAGGAGGATTGCTTGAGCCCAGGAGTTCGAGACCAGCCTGGGCAACATAGTGAGACCCTGTCTGTATAAAAATAAAAAAAAAATCTGGGTATGATGGTACATGCTTATAGTCCCAGCTACTCAGGAGGCTGAGGCAGGAGGATTGTGTAAGCCCAGGAGTTTGAGGCATCGGTGAGCCATGATTGAGCCACTGCACTCCGGTCTGGGTGATGACAGAGCAAGACCCTGTCTCAAAAAAATTTAAAAAGATAAAAAATAAAAATAAATGAGAATGAATGTAAAGCAAACATTTGTGAGCAATTAACTATAATATCCTACATAATTAAATAAGTGCTAAACAGATTTTAGAAAATGTGCTATGGTAAAATAAAGGAATTATGTTAGAGGTTCAAAGAAGGCTTTATAGATGCTATGTTTAGTTATATGTGTCCATTTGAGTGGGCCACCTGATGCACAGATATCTGGTTAAACATCATTTCTGGGTGTGTCTATGAGGATGTTTCTGGAAGAGATGAACATTTAAATAAATAAATAAATTTGATTAAGGAAGATTGCCTTTCCCAACATAAATAAATATCATTCAATGCAACTGTTTCAAAAAATAAAAAAAGATAAAACCTAAAAGTAAATAAATAAACAAGAATGAATATAAAGCAAACATTTGTGAGCAATTAACTATAATTTTCAGTTGAAGGCCTGAGTAGAGCAAAAATATAGAGGAAAGAATAATTCTCTCTCTCTGCACCTGACTGCATGAGCTGGGACAGTAGCATCAGTCTTTTCCTGTCTTTGGACTGGGACTTACATCACCTGCCCTCCTGGTTCTCAGGCCTTTGGACTTGGACTGGAACTTATACCATTGCCCCTCTAGTTTTTAGGACTTTGGACTTTGACTAGAACTTATGCCATTATTTCCCAGGGCTTCAGACTCAGACTGGCATTATACCACTTGCTTTCACGAGTCTTCAGCTTTCAGATGGCAGATCATGGGACTTCTGACTCCATAACCACATGGGCAGATTTCTCATAATAAATTTATGTGTGTGTGTGTGTGTGTGTGTGTGTGTGTGTGTGTGTGTGTGTGTGTATAATGTCCTATTGGTTCTGTTTTTCTGGAGAACATCAACTAATACAATGGAGGAGGCTGCATTCAAGCTAAGCCTTGAAATTTGGTGAGATTTCAGAGCAGGGGAAGGGGTCTCAAGTCCAAAGTGCTCTTTTGCCTCTGATATGCTTCAGAAATAAAAGGGAAAATGTTATGGTACTTATGTGCTCAAATGTAGGACATACATATCTCTTAGTGTAGCAACTCTGGTTTCTCTATATCCAGAAAAAACAACAATGCTAGAAAAGGTCAAAGGAAGGGTACTTTTAACCATGTGGGGAGCAGAGACACTTCTGGGGATATGATGATAGATCAGAAAATGAAGGACTTTCCAACTGTATTGCCAAAAAAAAAACAAAAACAAAAGCAGGAAGGCTTTCTGAGAGACTTGCTAAATCTCAGTCGACTGTGGAAATGGTAAATATAAATTAGTTCACCAAAGAGATTTTTATTTTAATAGAGCTAGTAAATGGATGACTGAAAAACCTACTGAATTAAGAGTAAAAAAAATTAAAATAAAAACAAATAAGCAAACAGAAAACCCGTTATTTTCCTAGTTGTGCAACTCATTAGCTGTGTAACTTTGTTTTGTTTTGGTAAAGACGATGATATTGTTTGGTTCTGTGTCCCCACCCAAATCTCATGTTGAATTGCAATCCTCAGTATTGGGTGAGGGACCTGGTGGGAGGTGATAGGATCATGGGGGCAGATTTCCCTTTTGCTGTTCTCGTGACAGTGAGTTCTCATGAAATCTTGTTGTTTAAAAGTGCATAGCACTTCCCCCTTTGCTCTCTCTCTCCTGCTGGCCATGTGAAGATATGCTTCCCTTCCCCTTCATTTTCTGCCATGATTGTAAATTTCCTGAGTCCTCCCCAAGCCATGCTTCCTATACAACCTGTGGAGCCGTGGGCCAATTAAACTTAATTTCTTTATAAACTACCTGGTCTCAGGTAGTTCTCTGTAGCAATGTGGGACTATAATGGACTAATACACATGGGGTCTCACTTTTTGCCCAGGCTGGTCTCCAAATTCTGGCCTCAATCAGTCCTCCCACCTTGGCCTCCTAAAGTGCTGGTATTACAGGTGTGAGCCATCACGTCTGACCCTAACTGTAACTTTTGCAAATTAATAAATCTCTCTGTATCTCAATGACCTCATTGATAAAATGTCAACTCCTTGATCTACTTTACAGGGTTGTCTTGAAGATCTTAGAAGATAACTTAAGTGAGGGGGGCTGGAGAAAAAATTTAGACCCTATGGAGGCATATAAGGAATCTGCTCTTTTAGAACATATTTTTGAAATTTGGTGAGATTGGACTCTTACGAGGAGTGATTGAGAAGCTGCACTCTCAGAGAGTGAAGAACTCAATTCCAGGTGACTACAGCACAGGATGCAGGAAGCCAGTAGGTTTGGTTTAGGCAAATTTCAAGAAGAGCAGTATGGGCATGGAACCAGGCTGGAGGTGGGATTGGAGACACAGATAGAAAGAAATTATTGGATTTTTTATAGTTTGGGAGCTATGCTCAGACTTGCAGCTTTGGTCAGGAGGCTGCAATTAAGGGTGAACTTAGAAGGGAAAAACGAAATGGAAGAAAGAGCTTAATCCTTTTTTGCAGCTTTAATGACGTAATTTGAATGTTTAGACCATGAGCTTCCACCATACCATAGTCAAATTGTTCATGTACTTTCCTATATTTAGGGAGCTTGACATAGGTGGTGCATGAAGTGTCTCAAGAGGAAGCAGAGAATAAGATCTCAGTTACACAGTCTGGGCAAGAATACAAGAAAATCACCCAAAAAACTGCGACCATCAGAGGAGCCTCCATGTTAGAGTCTCTGGGCCTCTGTCTCTTCAGAATCCACCCTGGAAACAGTGTGCATCAAAACACTTTGGAGTTCTTAGAGGCACTTGGAATTATCTGCTGGCTTCCCACCTTTAAAGAGACTGGGCTAGTTAAATATCCCCCTCTGTTCATTTTTTTAAATTTGTGAGTTTATTTTTTGATTATTACTCTAATTGGGGGCTAACATTAACATTTACTGGGCAAGTGTCAGGGAGGTCAACATTATGCATGTTTGAGATAGTCCTTTGCCATGAAGAATTGTTCTGTGTCCCATGTGACTTTTGTATGTCCAACTGGGCAGTTGTGAATTCAGAAAACCTCGTGTATAATTATTCAAACTCAAAGCCTAACTCCATTTTACATGCAAACACAATGTATTTATTACACAGTTTTAATACACCCTAAATTTTCTAGGAATAAAACTTTGTACTTTGTTCAGAACTTTTCTTTTTTTAAAGTAAGTTGTTCATTGTTTTGGAAATTTGCATAACTGTTAGACAATTGTTCAAGGGCTTTAATTGTCTAAACAGCACATAAATCTTGGTTTGTATTTGTAGTTGCTGAATTCAAAAGCAATTTGTCATCTACAGCCAGCTTTTGACTGCTTCATTATGTCTTCCAATGTAGTTATTTCTAAGCATTTACATATTGAAATACATATTATTTTACTAAAAATTATTTTCTTTTTTTAACATTTATTTTATGCTTAAAGCATCATTTTGGCTTAAAAATTAATAGGTGTCTATAGGTTATATTGTCTGTGAATTTCATTTAAGAATAAATAAATGGAGCTTAATAAAATATTTGTTGTAAAAGGTGGCATTTGGCCCCATGAGGTTGAGAAATACTGGACAAAAATGTGATTGAAAAGGCAGGAGTTGTGAGCATAGGTTGTGCTAAATGCCCATTGCCTGTACATTGTACCTCTCCCCAATTTAACTGAGGGAAAATTACAACAAATATGTAGGTGAAGGGGGACCAAAAACAAAGAATGCTTTTGGGGTTAACCATAAGTGCTTCAATGTAAGATTTTCAGTCCTTTGGTTTTATGACAGGAGTTTGTCAGTTCACAATACCAGAAGATCTGAAAGAAAAATAAAAACAAAACCCAGAACCTCTTTGGGCTTCTCAGGCAATAGAGAAAGACTTCCACGTACTCAGAAGACCATCGTCAGTTAACAAAAGCCAGGTAAGACCAAAGAGACCTCTGCTTCCCTCTATGGAGATATAACAAACTCCAGACAACAAGGGCTATAAATAAGAAAAAAACAGATCAAAATTTTTATTCTTTACAAATAAAAGTTTTCCTTTTTTAGGAATGAAATTTTGATATACGCTAAAACACGGATGGACCTTGAAAATACTATGCTTAGAGAAATAAATCAGATACAGAAGGATGAATATTGTATGATTTCAATTTATATGTGGTACCTAGAAAAGTGAAATTCATAGAGAAAGAAAGTTGAATACATGTTAGGGTCTGCATGAAGGAAGGAATGGGGAGTTTATTGTATAATGAGTACAGAGGTTTTGTTAGGGATGATGAAAAGGTTTTGGGTATAGATAGTGGTGATGGTTATATAACATTATGAATGCATTTAATGGTACTAAATTGCACACTTAAGAATGGCCTAAATGATGAATACTATGTTATACATATTTTATCAGAATTTTAAAATTAAGTGAAAAACAAAGTTTTCCGTTTTTTAAAGCTCAACCTCCAAATACAGTTCTATTCCTGGAGTCTGTAGATTTTCTTTTTGCTTTCCTACTTACGTTCTTCCTTTCCTACTGTGTATGTTAAGCCATAAACACCATTTTATTAGGAGGGAAAGAGAACAAGAAAGCCCTGTGAAGGAAACTTTCACATCATTGTTTACTTTTAGATCTTCAAATGCTGCTCTCAAAGCAGAAAAGATGACTGTTTAACATACAATTTAACATACATTGAAGATTTATCATTCTTGAAATAAATTTTAATGAATTCAAAAGGCCTTAACACCCCTTTCTTGGATTGTCTTGCCCGCTATTCTTTTTGAAAGCTGTTTAATTTCTGAGAGCAGTTAGAGGCTGGAACTTGTGCTTGCCGAAACAATCATACACACGATCACTTGTTTTTTGGCAAAATAAGTTATAAAAATAAGGCAATCTGCTTCAATATTGAATTTGGGGGTTCGATATGAGTTTCTAGCTATTTTTAAAACTGAAAGTAGTTTTCTAATTATTATTTTTCCAGGTACATTTCCTTATGATCTTTCATCCTAAGAGCAGATTTCCACCATGTATCTAGATAATCAGGAAGACACAAGTATAAACTGGGTCTGTAAGTTCTTCTACCAGATTTGAAAGGTGATAGGCCAGGCTGATTCATCCTCACTGTGATGCACTTACTCATGGAGCTTCAATCTCTCCAGCCCCATCTGTGACTGAAGTCAGGGCTGCTGTGGGACACATTATATTTTTAGATCTCTTATTTTCTGGTTGAGAGACTACTTGGAATGAGACATCTATCTTCATAGTTCTATTACTCTGCAAATGAAAATACATGTCTATAAAATGTTAGTCAGGGCTGTTACATCTCTGTCCTGATAGTCAAGATGCCAGGAAGACCATTAAATATACATGGATGGGCAAACAGGTTGATGCTGAGTATTGCATGGAGCTGCCGACCTGGGCATTTCTATCACAGGTCAGAGGCCAACAGAAGCATATCACCCTCTAGATCATCTGGGTAGAGCAACAGAAACAAACAAAAAAAAAGAACCTGCTTTCTTGGAAACGTCAAAGTATTTTTTTCTTGTTTAATTTTATGGATACGGCAAATAATAGAGTCTTTGTATTTTATTGGAAAAGTTAATGAAGTTTACTTCTTTAGAACTCAGAGTGAATAATAAACAAAATTAAGCTGTCACTCTCCCTGGAGTACATCCAGTGCTGTCACATTAGGGAAACGTATTTCTTCTCATGAGAACATAGCACTTGATGGCTTGCGCAGGCTGAAAGAGCTGAAGGATGGAATAACATGATGCATTTGGAGCCACGTGTGATGGGAAAGACAAGCAGGAACCGCCTTTTAACTGTCTGTAATTTTAAGTACTAGAACAATGATTTTGGGGGCCACCCTATGTGTCACTGGGGATGCACTTAGCCCTGAGAGCCTCTCACAGGGAGAGGACAGGTGTCTGGGGTAGTGAGGGCAGGGCCGCACTTCTTGGTGAGGCAGTACTAAAATTAGAGGTGACTTTGGGGAATCTCTTCTGACCAAGGCATGCTTGGCCTGGACTGAGCAGATTTAATAAACTCACGGGAGGAGCCTCGTTAGCACAATAACAACACATCTCTCTCCTTCCTGGATTTCATATCTCTGCTGCTCCCTGCTTCTACTGACAGCTTCAGGGAGCAAAGTCATTGCAGAACACAAGGACTAACTGCCAGCAGCAGGAGAGGGGATGGAACCAGTTGGTCAAACACCCTAACCCAGAGTTTGGAAAGCTGTCCCCAAAATAGAGTCAGGCCTTTTGGGTAAACAAGTTAGCTCATTTTGAGGAAGACATATTTATGATCAAACATGACAGGTATAAAACGCTGGGAGAAACATCTTTATAGGCTATGAGAAAAAGTGGGACAGTTTACCCATGGGCATTAAAAACCCTTCTCTCCCCTTGTGGTTGTTGGCAGGAGATGGTTCTCACTGGCACGACCTGGTTGTACTGCCTTTCCCTCATCCCTAGTAAAGTTGCTCTGGACTCTGGCTGGCGCCCTGTTGGACAGTCACCACTGACTACATTTCAAGTGGCATATGGGGTACAGCTGGCAGGAGAATCGAGTTCTCTTGTGGTCAAGGAGCATTCAAAAGAGCAGGAGAAGGAACAGCCACGTCAAGGCCCTGGCTTGTCCATGGGATGTTCCTTTGCCAGGAACCATGGGACGCCCGACCCCCATACAAGGAAGGCCACATGGAGGAGCTGGCAGAAGAACCAGCCATCGGCAGACCAAAGGAAGCAGCTTCTGCGGGTTTTTGGAGTGGCCACACTGCCAGTGTTACACAATGTGATATGACGGGGGAAAAAAAGTGGTTTCTCATGCTCTTCCAAATTAAGATAGCATTTCTTTGACAAATTAGTAAAAAATAAGTTTTTTAGAGTGAAGAATGACCTGGAGTGATGTGCCTATTAGCTGATGAAATAAGAGACACATGAAAGTTTGAAATGGAAATGGATAAATTGCAGTTTCTTTTACTCGGCTCACTCTAAATGCTGAGACAGACAAGTCTGTTTCATCCTGGTCAAGAGCATGTGGTTTGATGGTCAGGGGATGGGCAAGGGAGTCAGAAAGTCTGGGTTGTATTCCCAGCTTTGCCACTGACTTACTGGGTGACCTTGACCAATAGTTGTACCCTCAGTATCTCCATCCAGAAAACAGGGATTTAATGACAGCCCCCAGAAAGGAATGTTTGAGCAGTTTCTAGGCATACAGGGCTCGATACTTTGAGGTCCCAGGCAGGCAAAGATGGCAAGACTTCCAAATTTAGTTTTCCTGCACAGGGAAGCATGGTTGAGAGCTTTTGGAAACAATTGGAGTAGGGAACAAAGTAAATCCCCATAACTGTCAAAGGCAACCTTTGATATATGGCTTCAAAAACTCTCAAATCTCCAAAGCCACCTTGTCACCTTCCAAAGTTACTTGCTATTGGACCCCGTAAATTTATTTAAAAACAATTTAAAATTAAATTCCATGACACTGAGTCATCTCCTGCCAGCCACTAAATACTAAGATGAAAATCTCTTGTGACATTTAACACAATGGCTGTTCAGAGGTCTTGCATTAGCTATTTTAAAGACTTTTATATGTTGGTTTGCTACCTTCCATAAGAACCTTAAGAAGACAAAACACACTTACACTTATTCTTCAGCCAGCAAACGAATAGCTCAGACTGGGCACAAGGACATTCATCTTTCGTTGGGTCTGATCTTTTGTTTGTCCTAAAGGGGTTCTTTCTTGTGAGAATCCAGGATGGTGCTGGGTAAACAGCAACTAACAGAGCAAGTGTCATGAAACTACATTCTGATCCTGGCATTTCCATCCTGGTGAATAAGTAATTTAGTCTCTAGGCATCACTTTTCCTATTTGCAAAAGAAGGGTGTGTCTCATAGCTTTGCTTTTGCTGCCATACAACCCTTCTTCCAAAAGAAATGTTATGTATCATTCTAGGATGAAAAAGCCAGAGGAGAGGGATCTCAGCCCCTCTTTCCTATGCTGACAAGTCTGGTCAGCAACTTTGTAAAACCCAGCATAAATACCACTGGTTAGTCCTTGAAGTCGTTTTTGTATATAAGAGAGTCTGTGGGTGAGAAGAGGGTGGAGGAATTCCGTATGTTTACAGCCAAGCAATGAAGGTTAGTGACTACTGTGCTGGATTGAGAGACGCCTATTTTTGGTTTTGGTCCAGTCAGTAAAAATAGAAGGTCTTAAAAGTTTGGATGAAAGCCACTTTGTAGTGTTCCTTTTGATGTGACCTTGCCTTATACCTACATAGAGTCGGTATAGTTACTCTTAGTTAGCTATAATACTCCATTTCTTAATCATTCTTGATATATGAAATTTATATTTTGTGCATAGAATTTTTTCCTCACATGAGTAGTTTCCTTTGAGGAAAACAAAACCCTGATAAAACAAAATATTTTCGGTATTTATGAGCTACTTTTTCCTCCAAGTAAAAACAGCCCTTTAATTAATTAATTAATTAATTAATTAAATTTTTTATTTAGTTTTGAGACAGAGTCTCACTCTGTCACCCAGGCTGGAGTGCAGTGGCATGATCTTGGCTCACTGCAATCTCCAACTCCTGGGTCCAAGCAATTCTCATATCTCAGCCTCCTGAGTAGCTGGGATTATAGGTATGTGCCACCATATATGGCTAATTTTTGTATTTTTAGTAGAGACAGGGTTTCACCATGTTAGTCAGGCTGGTCTCGAACTCCTGGCCTCAAGTGATCCACCCATCTTGGCCTCCCAAAGTTCTGGGATTACAGACGTGAGCCTCAGTGCCTGGCCAAACACAGCCCTTTAAAACTATGAAAGATATACCTGCTTACAGAAAAAATGATATAACATGTAAAGTAGGCCTGGCACGGTGGCTCAGGCCTGTAATCTGAACACTTTGGGAGGCTGAGGCATGCAGATCACTTGAGGTCAGGAGTTGGAGACCAGCCTGGACAACATGGCAAAACCCCGTCTCTACTAAAAATACAAAAATCAGCAGGGCATGGTAGTGCACGCCTGTAATCCTAGCTACTAGAGAGGCTGAGGCAGGAGAATTGCTTGAACCCAGGGGACAGAGGTTGCAATGAGTCGAGATCATGCCACTGTACTCCAGCCTGGGTGACAGAGCGAGACTCTGTCTGAAAAAAACAAAACAAAACAAAACAAAATTAAAAAAAAAAACACACAACATATAAAGTAGAAGGATAAATTCACCTGTAGTCCTAGCCACAAATAACTGCTGTTAACATTTTGACATATTTCTTTGAAGCTTTCTCTATGCATATACTCTCTTTACCGTAATAGAAAACCATTTTTGAGCTGCTTTGCCTATTGAGTAGCCATTCATTTATTCCTTTACCTCCTTAATAAACTTGCTTTCACTTTACTAAAAAAAAAACCGTTAAAAAATGGCTCATACATTTGAAAAAATGGCTTCATAGCTTGTGTAACTATATAGATAGTGAAAATACACACATTATTATTATTCATAGAGAAAAATAGATTTTATAATTTTTTTTTTGAGACGGAGTCTCACTCTGTCACTAGGCTGGAGTGCAGTGGCGCAATCTCAGCTCACTGCAACCTCTGCCTCCCAGGTTCAAGCGATTCTCCTGCCTCAGTCTCCAGAGTAGCTGGGACTACAGGTGTGTACCACTACACCCAGCTAATTTTTTTTTTTTTTTGTATTGTTAGTAGAGACAGGATTTCACAATGTTGGCTAGGATGGTCTCAATCTCTTGACCTTGTGATCTGCCCGCCTTGGGCTCCCAGAGTGCTGGGGTTACAGGCGTGAGCCACAGCACCCAGCCAAGATTCACTTTTATAAACAACAATGTGATGAACATCTATGTGCAAATATTTTAGTGTATGCATCCAATAATTTCTATTGATGATATTCCTTAAAGTGAACACCTTAGTCAAATTATACACACATTTTAATTTTTAATATTGGCCATCAGAAAGGTTGGTACAATCTATATTAGTAAAATGTGTTATCTGGCATGGAAATACAGAGAGGGTTTTGGGTTCTACTAGAAATCAGAATGGCACTGCCTATTATAAATCCTTGTTTATTGACTTTAAAATGCTTGGTCTTTGTTGGTAAAGGCCCAAACTGAATGCTCTGAAAGAATAGTTATTGACTAGAAAGACTCCTTGAAGAAAAATGTTTAGACAGCCACGTAATTGGATTCCCAGCTGGAATAGTGGGTTTCTAAGATTCACGACTATTTTAAAATTCAAGGAATACAGATCCCTTATCCTTGTTCATTGGGAATAATTTCCTCTGTCCCATTTTTAGGGGGCTTTAAATATTCACATGACTTATATTTGAAAATATGATTGGATACAGACAAAAGTAGAGTAAAATTGATGTATAGCAGTAAAATGGTTAAGCAGGAAACAATTACACCACAACCTATCCCTCTTCAGTTACAGTAGGCTCAAGAATGACTTGCCCCTGAAGGATGAAATTAAGTTGTTTAAGACCCTCACTTTGATTTTACTCAAGCAGCTAAGGAAGAAGTACTATTATTTTTGTACTGAAAATTGATGTACAGCACTGCACAAGGCTGGTCTGTCACTTGTGGTGACAGCACAGACAACGGGCCAGTTTGATCTCTAAAAAGTTAAGGTTGCAGGCAGGAGTCAGCATGGATGATACAGTTGCTATTCCAGATTCTGGGACACAGACACTCCAGGCAAGGAGGAAAACGAATTCTATGAAATATGGTAGGGGTAGTTTCAGCAGAAACTGTTCTATGTAATAAACACTGTTTGAGATACGTGGGTGACTGTTTCTTATTTCTAGAAACACTGCTGTCATTACCTCAAAATTTTATATGCTTTGCAGAAATTGGAAATATAAACCAAGGACTTCCAGTTTAACTTGAAACTTGTGACTCTTTTAATGATGGAAGTCAGTAAACATATTCACGAATAGCTACCCACAAATATTCAAACCACCCATCATTCTCTACTGAATACATGTAAAAGACAACAGATAAAGCCCAAGAAGTTGCTTTGTGACTGTAGATACATGCACTGTGAGTTATTAACACATTTAATGAAAAACTGAAGAGACTATGGCTCACTTGAAACAACCTATCAATCTGGAATTGCTTATAATGGGAAAGAAATATTTATAAATAGAATTAGACTTGGGCTTCAAGAAAACACATGCTATTATAAGGAAGAAATTGATTAATTATTGCTCTCTCTCCTTACTCCACCTCCTCTCCCCTTCTCCACCTCCTGGGATACAGGTTTAAGTTTAATCTGGGGCTTTAAATTAGCATTAGAAAAAACTTTTTGATGATGTGTACATTTTAACTACTAGGATGGGACTACAACAAAATATATAAACTCATTTCCCTAGACAATTTTAAACGATGAGATTGGTATAATTGGTGTGGGTTGGTTTGGCTTTGCTTAAAAAAGAGAGATGAATGAGGGGATTCCAAAAGCTTTTTCAGTCCCTTGAGTTTGTGACTGTACTTTGGGCTTTGCCTCATTGGACTGTTAGAAAGCCCTGGGCCACTAGTGATCACCTGTCATCCTGACGATAATCTCCACTGAGGAGAATGTTTGTTCTAATAATGAATACATAGGGCTCAGTTTCTACTTTCCTTAATTTTCCCAACAGCTACAGAGAGGTCTCTTGGTTCCTTAATAATATTATTTATTTTCTCTTCCTGGTGATATTACTGTGGCCTACTTGATTTTAAAGGCTTGGCTATACATTTTAAAAATTCATTAATGATGGAAAATAAAAAAGATACATTCATACCAAATAATTATGCCTAAGAAAATTCAAGCTTTCATTGTGTTTTAACCTGTTGGCCAGAGCTGGCCATTTGTATGTATTAAAAAGGCAGCTACCAACTATAATGACTGATTAAGGGACATACATCAACACCCCATTCCTCTTTGACCTCCATGTATCTGTCAAATTGGCTAAAGATCTTAACATTAGGATCATCCTTGAATAGCCATCTTAAGGATTTAAGAGTTTGAATTTACATGGGATAAGAAACATTTTACCTGGTTAATATAGGAGCTTGGCTAATTTACATGGATACCCCAATATCCCACTTATCTCTTAGCAGAGAGCAGGGCTCAGAGGGGAACTGAAAGTAAGAACAAAACTGAAAGGAAGTTGATAAAGAAAGACTTGGAACAGGAATTCCTGCCTAGGCCCAGTCCTGGATGCCTACAGAATGGCTCAAGGATGCTAGGGCTTACTTCTTATTACACCTTGAATGCCTAGCGCAGGGCCTGGCGCTGAATGAATGAATAAAGGAATGAATGTGTGGGTGTCAAGGTGAGAGGGTGTTTAATAAGTGTTGATGGTGGGGGCAGCCTCATAAAAATGACAGTAGATGGATGGGGGTTGCATGGGTGTATAGGGGATAAATTTTTAGAAATTTTTTTAAAGAGCAACTCTCAAGGCCTGGAATTTGTTTTGTGAACAGTCCCACAAAGCAGTTGCCTCTCACAGATTTACTGCATTTAGAAAAGTCCAGGTCCTCTTTCATGCTTTTCTCCCTGCACCCTAGCCCCAGAGTGTTAGCCATATTTTCTTCATGGCCATTGCATGGAACACCATCAATGAACTCAGCCTTTGTCCAGTAGACGGTGCTGTTGTACTCTGGCCCTGCTGCTGATGGCATCCTTCTTCCTCGTTAGTGTTTCATCACAGGATTTTATAATGAAAAGGTTCTCAGACATTTGGGGAAAGGCTTTTTTCCCCCCAAACTAGATGCAAAAATATCTTTTCACACGGGGCTCACCCCTCATGTCTTTTCAAAGAAGCACAGGAAAAAAAAAAGAAAATATTCATGTTTTTCCTGTTCTGGGAAACAAAAGAAAACAAAACAACAACCCAAATCTCTCAGGGATGAGGTCCTGACACCTTTGGCTGAATTAAGCTGTTGGGAGACAAGGAAGAGGTAATAGTGGTCAGGTAATCTCAACACTCAACCGCCATCCTGTTTTGGTGGAGGGCCCCAAGTAACACACTTGGTGGGAGGCCTGGGCTGAGCAGGATGGGTCTTCCTCCCAGGAGCCTGGGAGAACACAAGGCCAATTGTGAGGCAAGGTGCATGGGCTGCTGCAGGAGGGCTTGGGCAGCAGCTGTCCCCAGATGCCCACTGCCAATAAGTCTACAGAGCAGCACTGGCTGTGGCCTCAAAGGGACCGAGGAAGCTGCCACCCTGGCCTGGGGTCAAACTGTGTGTGGTGACAGGGAAAGGAATGTGGACTTTGGCAGAGTAAAGAGCGGAAATATGGGAGCCCAAGAGAAAAGCCACCTGGGCTTGTTGAAGCTTTACCACCAGCCAGGGAGGGCAGTGTTTCTTGTCCCTCAAGATGTGGTTTAGGAAGCCCCAATCTGTTAGGTGCTTTGAGAAGTCTCCCTCTCTATGAGGTACCATCTCACTAAATAAAAGGAGCTATTCAGTGCAGGGGAAAACTCACTGTTGGGTGCATTCCACGGAGAGTAAAGGCACATCAAAGAAAAAAGTCCTTTAACACACAGATTTCTCCTTGACTTGGATTGTTGTAAAACTAGTGTGCAACTAAGAATTACAGAAAATCTTCAAAGGGAGAAATTACTTAGTGAAAAATTTTCATTATAGCCATGAATGGTGATAAGCAGGTTGGATTAGGGATGTGACCATCCGGGTCTTTCACTTTTCTAGGTCTGATGGATTTGGATACATCACAATATCTCTGAGTCTCAGTTTCATTCCTGTAAAACGGCATACTCATTCCTGTCCTATCTCCCTCATTAGGTTGAGCATTCTGAGACTCAGAGAAGTTCACTCATGTGGAAAAACAGTTTGTCAGTTCTAAAGTTCCATGCAAGTGTGAAGATTTATATTAGCTAGGAATTACATCCTTTTCCTCCCGTCTGCAGAACACCTCCCTGCCACAGTGCAGAATACAGAAGTTTTACACATAGTAAATATTAAAATGAAGAGACAAAAAGGCAAAAACAAAAATGCATGTGGTTACTGAGCAAACACTGAGATGGAATTATTTCACATTGCAGTGAACAAAGGGACATTTCCAGTATTATTCCCAATCCTATACAGTTGGTGTTCCAAAGGCCAGGTAGTTGCATGTTACTGTAAAGCCCTGCATTCAACAATCTTCAACGTTTAGCTTTTTCATAGCTTGACCCATTGTTTCTTAGCTGATTAGTACAGTTGTAAACCAGAAAAGACTGGTCTGTGACCTTAGAAGGTTGAACAAATAATGCTCCATCCAAGTTGTAATTACACAAGAGATAAAACAAAGACACATGTGAGCCCATTTGTAATAATCCCTCAATGCTGATATGAAACTGTTCATGTCAAACTGATTTCTATAGAGAGCAGAGCAAATAGGAATTAAAATAGTATATACCTATAATATGAGATAAGATTCTAGGAAATATAATTAACTTCTATAACTGACAGAAATGCTCTAGGAACTGAAAGAAAGCAGAAAAAATTGCATTGTTAAAGACCTTAAGTTTTTCAGAAAACTCCCCAAAGTGAACTGCTTTAAATTCTTTTTACAACAAGACAGGAAATAACCAAATGCTGATAGGCACACATTAAAATAAGTCCAGAATTCTTTTCTGTACATATTTTTAGTCTATATCTATCTGGCCAAAAGGAATACAGAATTAGAATAACTGGCTGGTGAAATTAATTCACAGAAGGGAACCAAATAATCATTTAGTCTAACAACTGAAAGCAGATATTAAAACCAGATTTTTTGGTTTGTTTTGTGCTTCCCCTGCTTCTCATTGTCTCCCTGCCCAAAAAGAGCAGTTTCAATCGCTTATCTCCTGTCTGTCTCTGTTTTATGCATCATTGCTATGCCCTGCATGACTGAAATGGTCACTGGGACTGGGAGTGCAAAGGAATTTTGAAGTTAAAACTACAGGAGTTATGAAAAACAACCACTTAATCACAAAATTCAATTCAACTTCCAAACAATGTCTAGAGTTAGGAGGAGAGTTAGTTAAACAGCCAGCAGCATGATGAACTATTCTGCAACCACTTAAATCAATGCAAATGTTTACAACACAAGGCAAGGAAGAATTAATAGAATTCATAATAGGACTGCACGTGATCTGAAATCTATGTACAAGTAGAAGGAACATAGAAAATACATGGATTATGGTCATGTACTTCCTGATAACTTACTCATTTTAATAGTTTTTGAATTGTATTTAAAAACATTAATGCTGCTTTTATTTAGTTTAAAAAAATTGTTGTTCAGACTGACATTTTGATCTTTCTAAAAAAGAAAAAAAATCTAGGACCTTGTCCGTGTTCAACTTCAGGATGGGTTTATTTTCTAGTACATGCTGAAAGGCTTTGTATTCATGCTCTTTAATGTTTTCCTCTGGATGATGTCCAAAGTTCTGCTGCTGCCCTCCTAAGTGCAAGGTTGCCTGAATTGGACAAATATTTAATATATTTCTCCTGGATAAATTTACCTTACTCAGCTTTTAAAATGTTCATATGTAATAAGCAGTATCATAATATGCTCCATGATATCTTTTCATTTCATTTAAATTTGATTTTTTAAATTTTTTTGACATTTGAATAGAATCAATTTTAATACAAAAAGGGAGGCAATTTGGCATTATGTGCTTCCTGATGTGTTGCTATAAAAAGTACTTAATTTTTACCATGAGTGTAAATATAACAAAATGGGAAAAAATAGTATTTTTCAGTAAATGATGCTGGAACAACTTCATATCTACAGGTAGAAGAATGAATCTGGATCCCTACCTCACAACCTATACAGAAATTAACTCCAGCTGGATCATTAAATCTAAACATAAGAGTGAAAATTGTAAGCTCTTAGAAAAAAATGCAGTGGTAAATACTTATGAATTCGAATTAGACAATGGTTTTTAGATATGAAAACAAAAACACAAGCAACAAAGGAAAAAGTAGATTTGATGACTGGACATCATTATAATGAGAAACTTTTGTGCTTCAAAGGACATCACCTAGAAAGTGAAAAGGCAACATGCAGAATGAAAGAAAAATTTGCAAGTCATATAACTGGTAAGGGACTTGAATCTAGAATATGTAAAGAACTCTTACAACTCAATGAAAATAGGAAAACCCAATGATAAAATGGGCAAAGGATATAAAAAGACAGTTCTCCAAAGAACACATGCACAATAAATGCATGAACAGATGCTCTTATTAGCCATGAGGGAAATGCAAATCAAAACCACAATAGGATACCATAATTGGGCATTTCTGTAGCACACTATGAAAAGTGCTGATGGTACAAGAAAAGAGATACCAGAGCAGTAGTGAGGGCAGCTGTGGTAAACAAAGCTCTTATGATCCTGAAAATCCTGAGTTCAGATTCAGCAAACGTGGAGTGGGATCCTATGTGCCATGACAGGCATCACACCAGACTCATTTAATGACTTCTCACTCAACTAGCCTACTCTCTGTTGTTGAATTGTTAACTCTATTTTACAAATGAGCATTCTGAGACTCAGAGAAGTTCAGTCATCGGCAAAAGTTAGCAGGTGAGAGGGTGTTTTTGAACTCTAATCTGATTTCATATCTAGGGTTTTTTCCATTGCAACTTGCTCCAAAAAATTGGATTTGATAAATTTATTTCTTTATTTTTACATAAAGTGTTTTAGGTGCTTAAAAAATTAAAGTAATATCCCTCAATCACATCTTTTTTTTTTTTTTTTTTTTTTTTTTGAGACTGAGTATCACTCTGTCGCCCAGGCTGGAGTGCAGTGGCGCGATCTCAGCTCACTGCAACCTCTGCCTCCTGGGTTCACACCATTCTCCTCCCTCAGCCTCCCTAATAGCTGGGACTACAGGCGCCTGCCACCATGCCTGGCTAATTTTTTGTATATTTAGTAGAGACGGGGTTTCACCATGTTACCCAGGATGGTCTCGATCTCCTGACCTTGTGATCCGCCCACCTTGGCCTCCCAAAGTGCTGGGATTACAGGCGTGAGCCACCACGCCCGGCCTCAATCACATCTTAAAACAAATAAATACGAGGCACCAGGAAGGCAAAAAAAAAAAAAAGAAGGTGGGACTAGAAAAAGATGAGGTCGATAAGACACTAACATAACCACAAAGGATTCCAACAAAACTATTTTATTCTTAACAAATCAAAGGGTGCTAGAATGATCATAATGTCACCCAACTTATAGGTGGCACATTTGTTTCTACCTGACCAACATAAGCCTGGGTATGATCTCTTAGCTCTGCCAGTTAGCAGAGCTCAAGACTGACAGATTTAACGCAAGGGTCATCTTTTTGTCTAAGTAGGGAAGGTGGTGTTGCCCAAAGACGTGAGACAAGTGACTTCTCTATTGATGGTGACCTCTTGGAGCCATGAGGACTGACACTCCTAGTTCCAAGTGGCCCAGCACTCTGGGCCAGGCATGAGGGCAGGACAAGGAGCCAAGGACACAAACCAATTTAATAAAAACAAGAACTAAAATATCAGAAGGACTTATTTTCTTTAGGAGAGGCAGTTTGGGATGGTGAGGAGAAAGAAAAGTTACCTCAGAGGACTGGCAGACAGGACACCTGGGTTTTAGTCCTGGGTCTTTTACCAAGAGCTGGATGAGTTTGGGTAAATTACATTGCTATTTTGGGCTTCCATTTTTCATATATAAAATGAGGATGTTGAATTTCCTGATTTGCTCTCTTTCCCAACTGCCATCTCTCTCTTTAAGGCATGTTTTGACAGGGGTCCCTAATTTGCTGGTAGATCCAAAGATTCAGGACTGAGGTAAACCTAAAACCTTTGCTCATCGGGGCATTCCAAGGCTTTGGGGACAAAAAGGTACCTCTGCCTCAAATGTCGATTGGCAATTTTTCTTTATCCAGATGATCCTGTTTTGACTGGACCACCAATAGCATTTTTGAGAGAATTGAAAATTTTATGAGCTTTCCCTCAAGATGGGCTCAAGGAATGCTTAACATAAAGGCACAAATATTATGGAGCTGAAGAAAGAAAAAAAAGAGAACTGATAAAAAGGGACTTTCTGTAGACCAGACTGGACTGAAGTCCAACAGAAGTCCTCTGATGAAGATAGAGGGGTCAGTGGAAACCAGAGAAAGATTAATTCTGTATTCAATAAACTGGATGCTTGTCAAATTTGAGACTTCATGCTGGTTAGTCAGAGATAATATTCTATTACAGATAACTCTTCAAGAAGTTTTAAGTTCAGAGGTGATATAAAAATATACACAAGTACAATAATATAGGGTAAAAAGGTTGTTTCATTAGAAATAGAGGTAGAGATAAAAGTGCTACTATGACTGTAATGATAAAGGCACAACACCTGATGATAATAAACAATGTCAGGAAATGAGATTTGAACTGTGAGTATAATAAAAGCATACAGAAAGGAAGCCAGGTGAAGGAAGTTAAAGACAGCCCCAACTGTAAACTGTAGAGAGTCAATGTATGAATTCTGTTTAGTGTTCAACCCCGAACAAAATCAGAATTTAAAGACCCTCTAATCTTCCTGGGACTCGGATCACTCTTTTTATCAGTTTTCTTTTTTAAATTTCTCCAGCTCCATAATATTTGTGCCTTTATGTTAAGCATTCCTTGAGCCCATCTTGAGGGAAAGCTCATAAAATTTTCAATTCTCTGAAAAACATTATTGGTGATCCAGTCAAACCAGGATCATCTGGATGAAGAAAAGTTGCCAAACAATACTTGAGAACGAGGTATGTTTTTCCCCAAAAGCCTTGGAATGCCCCAATGAGCAAAGGTTTTAGATTTACCTCAGCTGTGAATACTTTGGATGCAGCCTGCCGTCCCTGAGTCCTGGATTGTTCTGTGGGTGAGAGCAGAGCTTCTGTTCTGTCATCATCTGGCTGTTTTGGTCATGTGGTCATATCAAGGTTTAATGAAAGAAAGCTAAATGGTGTTGCAATGACATACTGAAGTGATTAAAAGTTTAAAAATGTCATGCAAATTCTAATTTACCTCAGGAATATGTTTGAATTAAGGCTTTGCTTTTTTCTGTTGTCTAAAGATGGAGCCAGATGCAGGTTTTATAGCGGTAAGAATCCAGGATTTGGGGTCGAGTTCCAGCTCCAGAGCTCACTCAAATTAAACTTGAGCACATCACTTACCACTTTGAGCCTTAGCTTCCTTATCTGTAAAATGGGGTTTATAAAACTTTGTGTCTACCCTACTGGATTCTATAAGGATCAAATTAAATGAGGTCACATTTAAGTCAGCACTTTCCTCCTCCTTCATGGCAGAAATGTGTCTTGTGCATCTTTATTTTTTTAACCCCTAACCCATAATGTTGCATATTCTAGACACTTGATAATTTATGTTCAATTGTGTTGCCCTTTAAATAAGTCACACTGGGCATTGCTATGGCCTTTTATGTGAATGTAGATTTGACTGCCCCAGTGGCTAGTTATTCCTTAGGTCCATCATACCAGATCAAGGTGAGCTTCTCTGATGAAGAACAGTGCAGTCTTCCTCTGCTGGAACCATTGATGTTTCCATTATAGCGCACCATTTTTCTGTGGTTGCCACTCATCAGTACACACACAGTGTTATTTGTCATATAAAAGGACTTTCCGTTCAAGAGCCTAGGGTCTGTTCTGTGTTAGCTAGGCACTATCCACCATGGGATGGCTTAGAACACTGCTCAGCAGGAAATCATGTTGTAAATGATTTGTTTTATTTCAGTCTTGTCATCCTGTGTAGCTCTGCACTGCTTTATCCAGGCGGTGGAAAAAGCTTTGAGTGTGAGTGGCCAGAATCAAGTGGTGTTCTCTCACTTCATCACGTTTGGCACATTTTCTCTCTGGACAAATCCAGTGGACATTTTGCAGACCTGCTAATCTCAGGAAGACTGAAGTTTTTAGAAGATCGCTCTTCATATTTAGGGGTAAGTGGTAAGAGGGAGGAAATGCTCACTACTGTTTGGGTCGTGTTTTCTTAGCTTGGCAAAGAATTATAACTTAATGGTATTGATTAATGACTCACCCAGAAGACACAGTCTAGTAGTTTGGGCTTAATGAGACTGAGTGCCTATTTTGCTTTTCAATCTCTCAAGATCTTTAGCAACTGTAAAATATCTACTTCCCTAGTTTACTTTTGGGAGCAGATTACATCAAAGAAATACTATTTCCATAGTCTTCTGGAGAATGTCACCTCCCAAGGAATAGTATGTCTGATTTCATAGAGATAGCAAGGCTTGAGCATTTAAACTCTCTTAAAATGCTTTCTGAAATTCTATTGTTTGATTTGATATTTGATTCTAGAACATTTCATTAGGGAAGAATAGACTGTTAGACTCACTTGATGGATAAGTCTGCAGATTAGACTCAGGGTGGAGCACACAGAGGTTTGGTGCCCCTCATTCAACCTTGGCATTCTCTGTCACGACAGTTAGGTGGGTTTCTAATGACCTTTCTGAGCCCCTTCCTAGCTAAAGTGTAAGTCTCTTTAGAGTAGGAGCTAGATCTTATTCCTATTTGGTTTCTCTGTTGATAGTGGTTCCATATGTTAGTTGCCGCTGTCAATGAATGTTTTACTCATCAGTATATACATTTATGCAACAAAAAATTGAATACGTTCTAAGCAAAAAAGCCACACATGTGAGCCAAACCAAGCCCCTGCCTTCATGGAGCTTGCTTTCTAGTGGTAGAGAAAGCAATCCATGACAAATCAAATAAACATTCAATATTGTATTAGGTAACTATAAGTACTATAAAAAAAATGAAGCAGATTAAAGGGATAGAGAGTCACAAAGAGTACCGTTTTAGATCAGGCAGCCAAGAAGTGTCATTCAGAGGAAGTGATATTTGAGCAGAGGCCTAAATGTAGAGGGGAAGAGAGCTGTGCAGATGGATATCTAAGGGAAGTTCGTTCCAGACAGATGGACACAGAAAGTCCGAAGACAATAGGAATTTTGGTTAAGAAACTGGTCTCTGGAATTGGGTTGGCTGGGTACCAATACTGGCTCTGCCACTCTAGCTCTGCATGAAAAATAGTGATGATGATAGCTGATGTTCATTAAGTACTTACCATGTGTCAGTTAGAATGCTAAGCCCTTTACATGGTTCTCTTATTTAATTCTTATTTATTTTTTGTTTAAAAAAAAAAAGAGACAGGATCTCACTATGTTGACCAGGCTGGTCTCAAACTCCCGGCCTGAAGCAATCCTCCTGCCTCAGCTTCCTAAAGTGCTGGCATTACAGCATGAGCCACCATTTCGGCTCTCTCTTGTTTAATTCTCACATCAATCCTACAAAATTCGGATGGTTTTGAATCCCATTCTACCAACAAGGAAACGAGGCAAAAAGAGCTCAGTGAAGAGTGGCGCCAGGATTCAACCCTTGCAATTTGAATCAAGAGCCAATAGTTTTAACACAAAATAAAATGTGGAATGAGCATGGCCAGATGTGGGAAAGTTGGGACATTTGCCCTTTGTAGTTTTCCCTTCTCCTGCCAATGACCTCCTTTCCTCCAGCCCTGCTTAGCCTTCTAAGGTGATTTGGGAGGGTGTACCCATGCATTACTACCTCTTGTTCTGGACCTTTCCCTACAAAAATCATTCCTGGTTCCCACCCCTTGGAGAACAGCCATCTTGGTCTAAGGAAACTGTCAAGGGAGGCTCAACAAAAGTGCCAGTAAAAATTGTGACTTAGTAGAAATAGCAAAAAATGGTAAGTCTTGGCTCTGCAAGCTGTGTGACCTAGGCCAAGTCATTGGCTTTCTGAGCCTCAGTTTCCTCCTACATAAAATGGATTGATATTATTTCTACTGCCTATCTCATCTAATACTATTTCTCCTGTGCAAATCAAATGAGGTCATGTGTGATAACATAAAATATACAATAAAATATAAGTGATATATATAGCACAGCATATTATATATATAGTATACATAAAATATACAATAAAATATAAGTGATATTTATAGCACAGCATATTTTATATAATTTTATAAGCACAGCATATTGTAATAGATTTGCAAACATATCCTGTGATATTTAACTTCTTGATTATCAGAATGTATTACTGTGACAAACTGCTGGCCCCATTCTATATTTCCATCTCTGACGTCATGGCCTCCTATGCCTTCCAATTCTTCAAATTTCATTTCTCAGGACAGTAAAAATGTTACTTGGAATTTCACCAACAGTTTACTCTAAAACTGTTGCTTCTTTAAACTAGATAAATTAGAGCAGTTTGTATCTTTTGGAATGGAAGCTATTTGACTGTAATTTCTACCACATGTATTTATTTTATTGTAGGAATAAAATAACAAAAAATATCAGTTAACCAGAATGCTAGGAGGAATGAGAAGTTTTAAATAACTAATTATTGGTTAATTAAAAGGCAAAAATGAATTAGAAACTCCTTCCTCTTTTTATACTGTAGAATGTATATTTTATATCCATCATTTACTCCTCTGACTTCGCAGGAAGGGTACAGTGAGGGTAAATAAACAACCATGTAAGTGTGTGTGCGTGTGTGTGTGTATGTGAGAGAGAGAGACAGAGAGAGAAAGAGACAGTTTTAACAGATCTGCCATTTTCAGCATCTCTGCTCTGTGTACAACACTATAGGCAGTCATAGGCAACATAGGAAGTTGAGTTAATGACAGAATGACCTTAGATCCACAAACACTTGGAATAGGGAAGACTCATTACACATTAAAAGGACGTTAAAAGCTACATAGTGGTTAAGGGCTCAGGCTCTATGCCAGTTCACTTAGGTTGGAATCCTGGATTGGTTACTTAGTAGCTCTGTGACCCTGGATAAGTTACTTAACTTCTCTGAGTCTCTAATTTCCTTATGGGCAAAATGAGGATGATAATAATGATACCTACTTCATAGAATCATTCAAGTAAAGGTAGTACCTCATGCATAATAAAAGTGCCCTATGAAGGTTGGAATTATTGCTGTTGTTGGTTGTAATGAACACTTACTAGGTCTTTAACATAGTCATTTACAACTCCATGAAGGAAGTACTGTTATTATCTCTATTTTATAGCTGAGCAAATTGAAGAATAGACATAGTAAGTAACTTGCCTGAGACTCATTGTTACTAGCTGATGTGTACCCATCCCACATATGCCTGGCTCCAAATACATGGTCCTAATCACCATCCTAAATAGCCTTTCCTGATCTCAATCTTTACCATAGACCTTATTTGTCATTATTTATCTTTCTTCCTTGGTTTAGAATGAACAATAAGCATTTATGAAATGGAATGGTCCTAAACAATCAAACTCTGAAATGGGATTCTTAATTCCACTTAATTGAGGTCTTTTAGTATGATATGTTAGTAAACATGACCCTTTAAGTAAATCACATATTGGGAGTGGTCTTGAATAAATTATTTAACATTTCTTTGGCATCAAGCCTACTAAAGTCATCACAAGATATGCCTTAAAGGATTTTCTTCTGTTGGCTTTGGAATTTTTTTTTTTTTTCAGTTAACGTGTTGTTTTCTTAGAATGCATTCTTCCAGAGGACAACTGTAAACTCTGAGTGAGGCTTAGAACAGTTCACTCCCACCTGGGTGCCTATTGACATTATTCGATGTGGGTGATGAATTGCTTGACGTGTGGCCCATGAAGATGGGAGAATACAGTAGAGAAAGACATGCACAATCAAGTCTGCCTTTTGTAGCAATGGCAATGGGTCATGGCTGCATTTTAAAGAGAAGGGGAACATTACTTTTCCATTTAAAAGTACAAAACTGTGACTCATGCTGGAATTGGTCCAGAATGTTGGTCAAATAACCAGATTGACAACTAAAGCTAAAAAAATAGGGTAGAAAGCTGGAATGCAAGGACGGACATATAGGAAGCTTAAATTCATTAGAAAAATGTGAACAAGTTAGAGAAAAAGAATCAGAAAAACAGAGAGTGTAACATAAAAAAAAAATGAAGAAGGGCCTTTAAAATGCCTCTCCTGATTTCCTTAGATAATCCTAGGAACATCAAACTCCCTACCCAGCAAATTAATGGGATAGCCAAAGAAAACCAACCCCTCCTTGTAAACAAAGTGGAAATTTCCTTCTTTCCAAAAGGGCCCCAGGCCCAGCCATAGAGGAAGCAAAGAGGCGAAAACATATTTCTGCCTGAAATGACCTCCTATTTTAAGAAAAAACAACAGCCCCAAAAGAAGGAAAGAAAAAACAAAGCTCCACCCAGAAGGAAATTGTATGTAAACAGCCCAAAAAGAGACCAAGACCTAGAGGGTTGGAATACTGAAATAAGCTATGAGTGAAAGGCATGATTAGCCTCTGACAATGTCAGAATCTGAACTTTGTGACAACTGCTTGGTGATTGACAAAAAGGGGTTGGGGGTGGGAGGAACTAGACAAAAGCAAGCTGGTTGAAAAGTCCCCTCTGCAGCATGGAAACTTTGATCTTTGAAGTTTGCCTGTTTTTTCAGGCCTCTGCTAGTGTGTAACCCAGGGAAGATCAGCAACCACGAAATGTTGGCTATAATTTTCTGCAATTTGTCACATGCCCTCTGCAAGCCCTGGTGAGATGGTTTTCTTTTGTTTTTAAGCTGCGGATAGTGGCAAGGTGGTTCAGGCAAGACAAGAGCAAAGTGAAATCTTCCTTCAATTCTCCTAAGCCTGGAGGCTACATTAACAAGCAGATGTCTTTTTATTTTTTTCCGCATATGTATTTTGTTTGGCTTACGTGGCATTAATTTCTCCCCCTCTTTTTGGATTCAGCATTTAAAAATCAAGAGATTTCAAGTAAAAATTTGGTTTTATTTACTCTTAAAAAATCTGGTGATACAAGCCCACGATTCCTGCAGGATAACATCTTCTGAAGCTGAGCACCTACTGCCCTGTTCTGGTAGGGCATGTACTTGACATTCTTCCTGCTCCCATTCCGCTGGCTCCACTTGCTTTTGCCACCTGTTTGTCCTGCCTGTGGGAATTTATGTTGACTTCTTTTCTTAAAAATAATTAATTAATTAATTAAATTTTTTTTTTGAGAAAGAGTCTCACTCTGTCACCCAGGCTGGAGTGCAATGGCGTGATCTCGGCTCACTGCACCCTCTGCCTCCTTGGTTCCAGTGATTCTCCTGCCTCAGCTTCCTGAGTAGCTGGGACTACAGGCATGCGCCACCACGCCCAGCTAATTTTTGTATTTTTAGTAGAGACAGGGTTTTACCATGCTGGCCAGGCTGGTGTCGAACTCCTGACCACAGGTGATCTGCCGGTCTCAGCCTCCCAAAGTGCTGGGATTACAGGCATGAGCCACCATGTCCAGCTGTGTTGGGTTCTAACCTGACCCATATACATCTTTAGGGCTATCCTCTGTTTAATCCAGGATGGCATCAGCCTGCCAAGAAAGATTCTAAGGCTGTTCTGGGCTTGGCAGGTGAGTTATAATTGGTTTCTGATGTTCTCTGGGCACAGAGGGAGTGCGTGGCAGCACATATGCCCTGCATCTACACGGTATGATTAGTTAGATCTCTGGCTTAATCCTGTTTTAACCTTGTCTTTAAATAGTCTTAGCGTGCCTTTTCTACAAACATTCTTGAAATCTGGTTGTGTTTATTTTCTCTCAAAACCTCTAAACACAATGAGATTCCATATGGAATCTCGTAGACTTTCTAGAAATCTCAGTATGTCCAGCCTCTTTTCAGGAACACTCAACTGCTCTATAAGCAGCTCTTGGTATAATACCAACAAAACCCCAAGTACGTGAGAAGGAATGCATTGATTAGTAGTAGCACATGTTTTAAGATGGTGTGTGAAGCAGTAGCCACTACTGTGGCCTCCGCCTGTCTGTCTATCTATCTATCTATCTATCTATCTATCTATCTATCTATCTATCTATCTATGTCTTATCTATCCATCCATCCACCCGTTTTTGTTTGTTTGTTTGTTTGTTTGTTTTTTAGCCATCTTTTGGGACTCCCAGATGCCTGTCATAGGAATGAGGCCTGCAGGTATTCTCACCTCTTCTGTAAGCGGCTTTCACATCCTCATTATAGTTCCCTACCTATTGCCCCTTGGCCAGCCCCTCCATTTCAGTAGAAGCCAGTATGTAACAACACTTTCACACAAAATGGCCTGCCAGAAGTCCAGAGGCGGGAACCTCGGTGAGCTGCTTTTCAAAGGTCTCCGACCCTTAAATGAAACCTCTTTGGTGCTTTTAGGGATTCTGTTGTTGGAGCCACAAGGACCCTTAAGAAAAATACTTGGAGCCAGCTGGTCCCTGCCATCATTGAAACCCAAAGGGAGGAGCTCCACGGGTGAGGAGCTACTCCCTAGATGTCTTGAAGTTGCTTGTATTTCAAAAGAATTCAGCTTACCACCACTGTGGCTTTTAGCCTCTCTAATAAAGCAGTTTTTAAAAAGCTAAAAACGTAATCTGCCTTTTAAATCTGCTCTTCCTGCTGAGTCTAAATGGGGTTGCAGCAAAATGCCTGGCCAGCATTAGAGTTCTCTAAAGTCAATCAGCTGAAATGGGGTTGCTTGGGGGTTTAAAATATATTTGAAAACACTCCAGGGGTGGTGCAAAATAACTGAACAAAGGCGAATTACATGAAAGAAAGAAGCAGGTGGAGGTTTATAAAGCAAAAGAATCACTTGTATATTTTGGAAATATTAGAAACTGAGACAGGCTTGCTGACCTTAGAAGTTCATCTATCTGATCATAAAAATGTTTTTCATTTGACATTAGAAAAATATTATGCTAATGAAGATGGTTTCAAATACACACCCAGAAATAGCCAAGGGTATACCTGAAAAATACCCAGGTACCCAAATAGGAACTGAGGCTAAAACATGTAACAGGTGAGGAGGTGCATTACTGGGATGTTTTCTCAGTAGCTTTGAGTAAGGCAGCATCATGCATTTTCTTCATTTTAATGAAAAGGTGGAAGAGTTCTCTTAAAAGTTGACTTTTTTTGTGAGGCAAATTCTTGTTTTGTATCTCATGGAAAAAAATCAAGATTAAAATTACCACGGGAAAAGAAATCTATAGATGATAAATTGAAGTATTTTTATGAAGACAAGATTAACATTGCAGCATGCACTGCATTATACCCTTAATATGTTCCTGAAAGGTAACATCTATGGATTAAGGCCACTTAGAATAAGAATGACCAATGGGAAATAAGTGTAAAATGTGAATTCTGCAACAAAAATACAACATATCTGAGAGGGCAAGTTTTGCTAACCCCCCACCCGCAGGGACATTTCTCTAAGGCACTATGAAAAGAACAAGACCAGTTTCCCAGTAAATTTGCTGGTCGGATTATATGTGCTGCTTTAAAGTTTTACTTGGCCAAACTGGATTCCACACTTAGGAGAGAGGATGATAATTTAGCAGTGTAAAATATACTGCCAACAAATAAATCTCTATGCAAGAGGGTCTTTGACATTGCTCTTCCTATACTTTACTCCATGTGGAATATATAGAGTGGATAAAATTGCCAGAATTTCTTGTTCTCTTTGTCGGATAATGAATTGAAGGCATAAACTTGAAAATATAGCTTCTGCCAGCACACAATTTCTTGTTACCCTTTGAAGGCCAGTGTGTGTGCTGAAAGAAATGCCTCAGAACACTTGAGAAGGTGGATGCATATGAGTAAATTGCAAGGGATTGGAGGCATTGGTTTGGATAAGAATGGAAAAATTCAGATATTTTGCCAAGCAGTTCCAAACAACTTTGATCTGGATATCTCAGGAGAATGAACTTGTGCCATTCCAGCATTTTCTGGTTTTGGCCAGGCAAAGCATATAGTAAAGAAATAAATACAAAATAAAACCCAAAGTTTTTAATGGGTTTTTAGAACTTCCACTTCTGGCTGCAAATGGTAGACAAAAGGCAAATAGATATTGTTTTAAAAATGCTAAGCCAGGCTTTTTCTAACCTCAAAAAAACACTGGGGTTTGATGAGGTTCAGATTTGGGGCAAGTTTCAGGATAGTGTTTGTTCTAGCAACTTCCTTCCCATCTCTGTGGAAAGTCTGTTAGAGTTTGTTGTGGTTCTGGAAGCCACACTCTGAAGGCTCTAGGCTGGGGCATCCAATCTGCTATTTGTGCCTCTGCCCACGCTTCCTTCGCTGTGTTTCTTGGAACTGGGCTTTCCTCCACTGCAGGAACTTGTACATGACTGAGAGGAGCCCAGACCCCTTCTCCTCCAAACTTTGATGGTGGAGCCTCTGCTTACTTCCCACCTCCAAGAATCTCCAGCGTGTCCTGGGCCCCAGTGCCTTCAGATGGGTGGCTGTCCAATTCCTGCCTTTAGCTGAGCTTCATTCCACTGCTCTAAGCCTTACCTTGGGTCTGGGGGGATTTCTTATGTTCAACCAGCAGGTTCTTTTGGTTGTATCATTCATTCAGCTCTGGAAATCCACTGCTTTCTGGGATATATCTTCTAGAAGGAAAAATTATGATGTCTGCTGTGAAATAAAAGGGGGACCAAAAGAAAATTAATATTTTGTGAGAATCTAGTATGTTCTAGGCACTGTACTAGATGCTTTATATTATATTTCACTTAAAGTTCACATTAATATACTGGTATATAACTCATGTTGTCTTGAAGATCAAAAGAGATCATTCACATAAAACACCTTGTACAGGGCACACAGTAAGGACTCAGTGAATTATTATTATTTCTTAAATTCCTTCCTAGGAAGGAACTTATTAATCTCTGCCTTTTAGTTAGGGTCTCCAACAAGGTCTTGCTATTTATAGGGCTTGATAAATGTTTGTTGAATGACTGAATGAATGGACTTTGCCAGAAGTATCTTACTACTATTGTTGATCTTCTGGTTAACAAGATATGATTTAATAAGTTAATTTATGTCTCTTTATAAAACCATAGTTTTGAGGAATCTGATATCAAAATTGTCCAGATAAGGCAACAATTTACCCTTATTTTATCTTTGTTTATTTTTCTTCATTTTACATTATTAGCCCTAAATTCTAATGAGCTGTATACTTCTTACGCTTGGATGAAATACAAACATATTACTTAGATATCATTGTTTGATAAACCCAATCAGAAAATGCAATGTTTTGCAGACATAGAAACTAGCTTAAAATCAAGCCATGGGAATACAAAAGTAAGAGCGTGAGAAAACAGACTGCTTCTTGAATAAAAAAGGTAAATTATAATTGGGAAAGCCAATATAGGCAACTGTTGCAAGGACAGTAATACTTTAGAATGCGATTCCTTTTTTTTTTTTTTTTTTTGAGATGGAATCTCACTCTGTTGGCCAGGCTGGAGTGCAGTGGCATGATCTTGGGTCACTGCAACCTTTGCCTCCTGGGTTCAAGCAATTCTCCTGCCTCAGCCTCCTGAGTAGCTGGAATTACAGGCCCGGGGCACCATGCCTGGCAAATTTTTGTATGTTTAGTGGAGACGGGGTTTCGCCATGTTGGCCAGGCTGGTCTCAAACTCCTGACCTCAAGTGATCCTCCTGCCTTGGCCTCCCAAAGTGCTGGGATTAGGTGTGAACCACTGCATCTGGCCTGGAATGCAATTCTTAACTGTAAATGGGGTAACATAGAATAATAGAAAAGGTTGAATCTTTGAATCTCTAGCACTTCACCTCTCTGAACCACAGTTTCCTCATCTGTGAAATGAAGTCATGTAAGGTGATCTCTAAGACCTTCTGGCCTTAACACTAACATTGTATGATTTTTATTTAATAATAACAACATACATTTATATAGCTCTTTAAGCCTTCATAAACTCTTTCATATTGCCCTATTTAATACAGGGCTATTTCACTAGTAGGTACACATAGAATATTTGAGAAAGAAGAAATACAAAAGCCTAATATATATATTATTTATAAAAATGTGATTCACTCAAATCTGTTGAATAGTCAATCACAAATGTCAGAATTTAACTTATTACTTAGACTCCCAGAATATGAGAATGAAAGGATCTCAGAAACCATGTAGTCACCTTCTTCATCATGGATGATGAAAGGTTTAAGAATAGGGCCATGGTGGCTTGGCTCCATGCTGAGATCTTCAGACCTCCAAATGGGTGCTCATCACATGACATCAATTTCACTGTATTGCTTGCTTGCTTGATTATACCGACAGTCCCATGCAACCCAGGCAATCTCCTTTGCAAAACAGAGAAATAAAAGTAATGATGAAAATATTAAGAGTCAAAGAATAATTTTGCTAAAAAAATGTTTAAGAAACATAAGTGATTGCTGCTTAGTATCATTTTTGTCTTACCAAGATTCTGGATAATTTATCATTTACAATCAAGATAAAAACCTAATCTTTATGTTTCTTTTTTTTTTTGCCTCTTTTCTCCCCACAATCTACTCCAATAATGTTTAGTATTTACATCTTTACCTACATTTTCTTGAACATACGTGGTAACTCACTTTGTAAAATGGATTATAGAATTCTGTTTGTTCTAATAAATTAAATATTAATTTTAGAAATTTTTAAAGACTATTGTCACACTAGTTCTGAATCTATCCTCCAGAAAGGCAATGCTAGGGATCAGAACTTTTTAATCCTTCATTTATTTTTGTGCTAGAAAACTAACATAGTTTTATGTACTGACGTTTAAAGTTTGAATGGCACATTAGTGTGATTTTCAAGATTTCAACATAAGCATCTATTTCATATTTTTAAAAAGACTGTAAAATTACTTCTCCTTTTGGGTATGATGTATTCTCATTGCAGCTTGGAGTTTCTGTTTAAAAAAGTCTTTTGTAGAATTCATGTGCCAAATATCAAACGAGGTGTCAAACTTTGTAAAAATACAAAGAAATTAGTGCTTTCAATTTTATTAGCATATAGAAGCAGAAATCCTGTGGCATGCATTTGAATAGTAAAAACTTTACAGAGGTATTTATGCAAGAGACATTTATCAACTCTCTAGAATGTACAAATCATCAGGCTGGGTGCTGTGAGAGATTACTTCTACTTAAAGCTTATTATGATCGAGTACATCAGGGGTCAACAACATTTTTTGTAAAGGGGCAGATGGTGAATATTTTTTGCTTTGCAGGCCATGTAATCTCTGTACTCAGAGCTGGTACTGTAGAATGAAAGCAAGCGTAGACAGTATGTTGTAAGAGAATGACAGTAACCATAAACTAATACAGCTTTCTGAGTGGACACTGAAACTTAAGTGTCAAACTATTTTCATGTCTCACAAACTATTATTCTTGTTTTAACTTTTTTCAACCATTTAAAATGTAAAAAACAATTCTTAGTTTGTGGGCCACACAAAAACAAGCAGTGGGCCAAATTTGGCCTGCAGGACATAGTTTACTGACCTCTGTAGTAGATGTGTATTGAAACAAAGTAGAACACATGGGATAACATGGCATGATGGCGGGAACATACACTGTGAGAGTATAAAATAGGACAAATTAATTAGGAAAGGCTGTAATGCTAATATCTTATGGAGATGATAATTTTGTTTCCATTTTTTCTGAAATGAGATTCATATAACATAAAATTTACCATTTAAAAATGAACAGTGGCACTTAGTATTTTCACAGTGTTGTGCAACTGCCACATTTACCTAGTTCTAAAACATTTCCATCAGACGGAATTATCCCAAAGGAAAACCCTGTACCCATTTGGCAGTTGCTCCCCATTCCTGTCCCCCCACCAGTTGCTGGCAACTACCAATCTGCTTTCTGTTGCTACGAATTTACCTATTCTGAATATATAATATTTCATATAAATGGAATCATACAATATGTGATCTTTTGTGTCTGGCTTCTTTCATTTAACATAATGCTTTATAGATTCATTGATGTAGCATCTATCAGCACTTCATTTTTTCTGGCTGAGTCATATTCCCCTGTATGCGTATACCACATTTTGTCTGCCCATTCATGAGTTGATGGAAATTTGGCTTTTTTCAAAAGTTCCCCTATGAACATGCATGTACATTTATGCAGTTTTCAATTCTTTTTGATATATACCCAGAAGTGAAAATGCTGGGTCAAATGGTAATTCTATGTTTCATGTTTTGAGGAATCACAAAAGTGTTTTCTGCAATAGCTGAACCATGTTGCATTCCCTCGCAACATATAAAAGTTTCAATTTCTCCACCTCCACAAGAGGAATTGTTATTTTTATTTTTTGAAATTATAGCTATCCTAGTGGGTGCAAAGTGGTATTTCACCGTGGTTTTGATTTGCATTTTCCTGATGGTTAGTGATGTTGGGCATTTTGTATATGTTTGTTGGTCATTCTATATCTTCTTTTGAGAAATGTCTATTCAAATCTTTTGCCCATTTTAAAATTGGATTATTTGGTTTCTTTGCTATTAAGTTGTTTGAATTCCTTATGTATTATGGATATTAACCCCTTGCCAGGTGCATAGTTCGCAAATATTTTCTCCCATTCTGTACATTGTCTCTTCACTCTGTTAATTGTTTCATTTGCTGTACAGAAGCTTTTTAGTTTGATGCAATCCCATTTGTCTATTTTTGCTTTTGTTGTCTGTGCTTTTGAAGTTCTATCCAAAAAGTCCTTGCCCAGACTAATGTCATGAAATAGTTCCCTTACATTTTCATATAGTAGTTTCATAATTTCAGGTATTGTATTTAAGCCTTAATCCATTTTGAGTTGATTTTTTGTACATGGTGAGAGATGGGGGTCTATTTTCTTTTTCTTTTTTCTTTTTTTTTTTGCATTTGTATATTCTGTTTCCCTAGCACCATTTATTGAAGACGCTGTCTTTTCCTCAATGTGTGTTCTTGGAACCTTTGTTGAAAATCAGTTGGCTGTAAATGGATGGATTTATTTTTGGGTTTCTATTCTGTTCTGTTGGTCTATGTGTTATGTGTTTGTTTTTATGCCAGAACCATGCTGTTTTGGTTACTATAGTTTTGTAGTGTATCTTGAAGTCACATAGTGTGATGCCTCCAGCTTTGTTCCTTTTGCTCAAGATTGTTTTGGCTACTCAGGGTTTTTTGTGGTTTCACATGAAGCTTAGAATTTTTTTTTCTATTTCTATGAAGAATGTCATTGGTATTTTGATAGGGATTGCCCTGAATCTGTAGCTCACTATGGGTAGTATGGAGTCTTTTTACTCTTTTGATGGTGTTCTTTGATATATGAAGGTTTTTTAATCTTCATGAAATCCAGTTTTGTATTTCCTTCAGTGTCAGGTACATACTACTCTTAAAGGTCCATTTTAATATGGCGTATTAATAACAAAAGACGATGAAAACTAAATTACTAATTTTTATATGTTGTCTGGTTAGAATCTAAGAGAACTTCAATGGGAACATAATAGCTAATATATATGAAGCATTTACTATGTGTCAAGTCTGTGTTAAGTACTTGACATACATTATCTTATCTAATTCTTATAGCATCAACCACTAGGCACAGAGATGTTCAATGGCATTACAAGGTCACATAACTATTGCATGGAAAAGGCAGCATCCAACCAAGGCTGTCTGGCTCCATGACCTCATAACTTTTTCAGGTTTCTATTTTGAATGTTTAGGTTTGGATACTCCATCTTGTGGCATATGTATAAAGAAGAGGCTAATGTTGACATCATGTACGTGGTTGACATATAGAGGAATAGGAAATTGAGTTTGGCATTTCAGAAATACCAAGTAAGGGAAAACCAAATCACACCAAATCTTTTAGGTAATTTGTCAATAAGGAAAAGCTCTGGTTGTGTCATTCATTTGTCCAAATTTCTTCTATGACTTAGACAATGTCTTCTGAATAATGAAGAAACAGTATTAACGAAATATAATATGTGGCAGTGCTTTTCAAAATGTTATTCTGTTAGAACTCTTCAAAGGAGGTACTGATATTTTAATTTTGCTAAAGAACTAGTTTCAAGGTTAGTCCATGAGACCCAGTGTGGATTTGAGCACAGGCTTGCACACCTGCCTCCCACAATTTCAAATGTTGAGCATATTCGCTGGCTCCTGGGTTCTCAGTGGATCGTTCCATCTGTATCTCTTTTACTCCCATTAGTGTTCAAGTTTTACTCCCATTAGTGTTCAAGTTTTACTCCCATTAGTGTTCAAGGTAGACTATACCTTTTCCTATCGTCTCATGGCTTTGTTTTCTATATCTCTTTTGTGGGCAATTTTCTTTTCCAAATGTTTACTTATTCTTCAATGCATAATTGATACATCAATGTATCCTTTAAGTCTCTGATCTTCCCAAAAAGTATTCTTTCTCTCTTCTGAGCCTTCATTACATGCTTTGTCTTCAAACTGCCACATGACTACATTTGTATGATCAGGTGTAAATTTTATCTCTCCTAATAAATCAAAATTCCATTAAAGTCCACATCTTACTTTAACCACATTTGTTTCTTTCACAATATCTGGTCCAGTGTCTTATATCTAATGGCTCTCTAGAAATAAGAAACAGCCTCCTCAACAAGGGCCAGGTTCTAGCCTAAACACCCAGATTTAGTTCTCAGTAAGAGCTATCTTCAGTGCAGTTTAAGAGAGTAATTGTTGTAATTGCATAATTATGTATATTTTGATAAGTTTGCAATAAAGTATTTATGAAATGTACTAATTCATTCATTAAGCCATTCAACAACCACTTGTTGAATATGGATAAAACCACACATTCTTGTTTAAAGAAGCTTATAATTTTGTGTGTGTTTGTGTATGTGTGAGAGTGTGTGTGTGTGTGTGTGTGTGTGTAAGAGAGAAGAATAGAGGCAGAGAGAGAGAAAGAGAGGTTACACAAGGCAGCAAAAGATCTCTACAAGGAAAACTATAAAACACTGTTGAAATAAATCACAGACAACACAAACAAATAGAAAAACGTTCCATGCTTATAGATTGGGAGAATCAATATCATTAAAATGGCCAGTGTTAGGTCATTCTTGTGTTGCTGTCTAGAAATACTGGAGACTGGGTAGTTTATAAAGAAAAGAGGTTTAATTGGCTCATGGTTCTGCAGGCTATACAAGCATGGTGCCAGCGTCTCTTTGACTTCTGGGGAGGCCTCAGAGAGATTTGACTCATGGTGGAAGGCAAACCAGGAACAGGCATGTCATACAGCAAGAACAAGAGCAACGCAGGCTGGGGAGGTTACACACACGTTTAAACAACCAGATCTCATGAGAATTCACTCACTATAATGAGGACAGCACCAAGCTATGAGAAATCTGCCCCCAAGACCCAAACACCTCCCACCAGGCCCCGTTTCCAACATTGTGGATTATACTTTCATATGAGATTTGGGGGACAATATCCAAACTATATTATGGCCATACTGCTCAAATCAATCTACAGAGTCAGTGCTATTCTTATCAAACTATCATCATTTTTCACAGAATTAACAAACATTATTTTAAAATTCACATGGAACCAGAAAAGAACCCGAATAGCCAATGAAATCCTAAGTGAAAAGAACAAAGCTGTAGGCATCACATAATATGACTTCAAACTATACTGTAAGACTACAGTAACAAAAACAGAATGTTACTGGTACAAAAATAGACACATAGACCAATGGAACAGAATTTAAAAACCCAGAAATAAAGCCACACACCTAAAGCCATCTGATCTTTGGCAAAGTCAACAAGAATAAGCAATAGGGAAAGGACTCCCTATTCAATAAATGGTGCTGGGATAGCTGGCTAGCCATATGGAGAAGAATGAAACTGGGCCCCTGCCTTTCACCATATACAAGATGGATTACAGATTTAAATGCAAGACCTCAAACTATAAGAATTCCGGCCGGGCGCGGTGGCTCACGCCTGTAATCCCAGCACTTTGGGAGGCCGAGGCGGGTGGATCATGAGGTCAGGAGATCGAGACCATCCTGGCTAACAAGGTGAAACTCCGTCTCTACTAAAAATACAAAAAATTAGCCGGGCGCGGTGGCGGGCGCCTGTAGTCCCAGCTACTCGGGAGGCTGAGGCAGGAGAATGGCGTGAACCCGGGAAGCGGAGCTTGCAGTGAGCCGAGATTGCGCCACTGCAGTCCGCAGTCCGGCCTGGGCGACAGAGCGAGACTCCGTCTCAAAAAAAAAAAAAAAAAAAAGAATTCCAGAAGAAAACCTAGGAAACATAATTCTGGACAGAGGCCTTGGGAAAGAAATTATGAGTAAGTCTTCAAAAGCAATTGCAATAAAATAAAAATTGATAAGTAGGACCTAATTAAACTAAAGAGCTTCTGCACAGCAAAAGAAACTATCAACAGTCAACAGACAACCTACAGAATGGCAGAAAATATGAGCAAAGTATATATTCAACAAAGGCCTAATATTCAGACTCTATAAGGAGCTTAAACAATTCAACAAACAAAAACTACATAACCCCATTAAAAACTGGGCAAAAGACATGTACAGGTACTTTTTCAAAAGAAGACATACAAGCAGCCAACAAACATGAAAATGCTCATAATCACTAATCATCAGAGAAATGCAAATCAAAACCACAATGAGATACCATTTCACCATTCAGAATGACTATTATTAAAAAGTCAAAAAACAGCAAAGGGAATCTGTATACACTGTTGGTGGAAATGTAAATTAGTTCAGCCACCGTGGAAAGCAGTTTGGAGATTTCTCAAAGAACTTAGAATTACCAATTGACCCAGCAATCCTATTACTGGGTATATACCCAAAGGAAAACAAACTGTTCTACAAAAAAGACATATGCGTCTGTGTATTCATCATAGCAGTATTCACACGCAATAGTAAAGACGTGGAATCAACCTAGGTGGCCATTAACAGTGGGTTGGATAAAAAATGTGGTATATATACACAGTGGAATACTACACAGCCATTAAAAAGTACAAAATCATGCCCTTTGAAGCAACATGGATGCAGCTGGAGGCCATTATCCTAACTGAACTAACACAGAAACAGAAAACCAAATACCACATGTTCTCACTTATAAGTGGGAGCTAAACATTGGGTACACATGAACACAAAAATGGGAACAATAGACACTGAAGACTACTAGAGGGAGGAAAGAAGAAGAGGGGCAAGGGCTGAAGCTACCTATTGTGTACTATGCTCACTACCTGGATGATGGAATAATTCACACCCACAAACCTCAGCATCATGCAATATACCTGTGTAATAAACCTGCACATGTACCCCCTAAATCTAAAATATCAGTTAATAGTAATGCTTGAAGAAAAATGAAGCCAGGTACAAGGGTCAGAGAATGATGTTGGGAGGTGAGTGGTGGACAGTGTGGACAGGAAAGCCCTTTTAGCTAAGAAGGCATTTGAGGAGAGATCTAGAGAAATGAGGGATTGAACTATGGATATTTGGTGAAGAATACTTCAGGTAGAGAAAGGAAAGTTCAAAGGCCTGAGGCAGAAACCTAGGAGTACTGGAGCAGTGGAAGATGAGGTGAGAAAAGTAAAGGAGGCTATGCTAGGAGGGTCTTCTAAGTCATAGGAAAGGTTTTGGAGATTACCAGGAATGAGATAGAAAACCCAGTTGAGGTTTTTTGTTTGTTTTCAGAAGAGTGATATGATTTACTCAATTTTAAAGGATCATGTAGGCTGCTGTGTACTCCTTTATTGATTATGTCTTCTCAAGGGCAGGGGACATGTCTTATTTACCTTTTTGTCCCCAGTCGCTGGTGCAGGGAGTCTCCTATCCAGTAGCCATTAAATAAGTACATGTTGGGTAAATATTTGCCTGGGATACTGACTGTTACAAGAGTTGTAAAAAGAACTTAAAAATAGAAAATTTCCCTCAGTTATCACGACTCCAATGATACAATTTATTTTAGTAGAACACTGTGAGGCCTTCTGTATTTATTCAGTAGAGAATTGTTTTGCTTTTCTTCAACATTAATCCCCAAACTAAGGCTTTTGCTACGATCATCAGGAAAGCTTTTCTTCATAACCATCTGTACAATGATAATGCCATACAAGATTTGAAGAATGAACAAAGGGAAACACACTGGATTCTAATTTTGGCCCTGTGAGTCATTAGCTGTGTGAACTTTGAAAATAATCATGTGCCCATTTCTTTGTGGAGCACCTATTGCGTTGAGCACCTGCTCACTGTCCCCGAAACAGACTTTCACTGTCTAACCAAGAAAGACAGAAATGTAAGCAAAGATGAAGAACACAGGGCTGTGAGTTGGCTCCTGTTGAAGCATACATGGAGGGCCTTGAGAGCAACCATCCTATTTTGAGTACACTAGGAAGCTAACAGTGAAGAGTAATCGAGGCAGAGACCAAGTGCAAAGCCCTGATCATGTAGAAGAGTGCGTGTGTGTTCAGGGAATGCTAAGGCATTTGGGAGGGGTCTATGGTAGGGTAATCTTAGAGGACTTGTCATTTTTATCTGGTGCATCTCTTCATTGGGGATGCCATCCTTCACCCATTCCATGTGATCTTCATGGTTGTTTACTGTGTCTTTCTTGCCAGCCATAGGGTTGGATAGGTCATCTAGGATGCCCATTCACAGTGACTTGTCATAAGACAAAGCTTCAGAATAACCTTCAGTTTTCTAATTAAAAAAACTTGAAACTTTGGTTGGTGTCTGGCAAAAAGAGTTTATTGTCAGGACACACCTGTCCTGAATTCAGAACTGGGACATTGTTCCTACTGAAGGTAGTCTAGAGCCTGTATTTATTCTTTCTCGGATTTGGGGTTATTTCTGCAATTGTGTTCCTGTCTCCTTTCTCCTTTACATGTGCATAATTTTTATTTCCCCGTGGTCTCTCAGGGTGCCCCAATCTCCACTACATCTGAAAATTTTAATATATTTATTTGACTTCCTCTCTGTTCTTCATTTAAAGAAAAAATTATTTAATATCTATTATGTGCCAGGAACTACTCTATGTGCTAGGGCTATAGTAATAAACAATTTAGACAAGGTCCTTGTCCTCATGAAACTTACATTTGATGGAGAGAAATGGCCAATGAACAAGCAGAGGCATAAATAAGACAGACTCTGGTACATTCTATGATGAGAATGAATGGGAGCCGGGTAGAGAGTAACAGGGTAGAGAATTCCTTTGGCGGTGTTGGGGGAACATGATCACTGAAGGCTTCTATGTGGAGGTGATATTTAAGCTAGTCCCCACCAAAATGATTTCAAGATAGGCATTACAAGATCCCTGGGGTAGGGAGAGCTTAATGGGTCCAGGAGCTAACAAAGGCCAGTGTAGCCGAAGGGATTGGTATGAGGTAGCTTAGAGAGGAATATAAATTCCACACCATGCAGAGCTTTGTAAGACAGGGCAATGAGTTCTTTCATTATGAAAAAACTCTGAAACACTTTAAGTATGTAAGTGGCATGGTTTGATTTACGTTCTATAAAGCTCACAATGGCTATTGTGTAGAAAATGGATTACCAAAGGGGCAAGAATGGAAGCAGGGAGACTAGTTTTGAGGCTATTGCAAAATTAGACAAGAGATAATTATAGCCTGTTCCAGAGGTGGTCAGTGGGAAAGAGCAGAAGCAGATAGACTAAAGCTATAAAAAGCATTTGCAGAGCTTGCTGAGAGGTAGCAGGGAGAGAAAAGGAAGGAACGAGGATGATTCTTAGGTCTTTTGCTGAGCAAATGAGTGGCTGGAAATGCCTTTTACTAAGATGGAGAAGACTAAGAACAAAACAGTTTAGGAAAATTTCTCAATAGGTCTATTTGAGAAATGTGAACTGTCTGATCTGTACAAGGAGGTCTGTATTGGACACGTTATGCTCTCTCTCTCAGAGATACATCCAATTGGCCCATTTCATCTTTTAGAGTCTGGTCACACCAGCACATTGTCTAGCTTATGTTATGATTTCTCTTGTATTAAGTGATTCCACCTTTCCAGTCAGCTGGGGCTGTGGGGGCAATGGAGGTTCATGCAACCCAATTCAGCACCCTGGCAGGGCAGGCCCGGTAAACACACTCATACTTAGGGATATAATGTCTGCCTATCTTACTTCACAGGGTTATGATGGGGGTTAAATGGGAATTCTGTAGGTGATAGCACTTTGTAAACTAAAATGATCACAAATGTAATGGGTTTAAAGGACCCTAAAGGCTGTTTAATTTACCAAACCTGCATATTTATGCCAATTTTACTAAATCACTGGAAAAATTATAATAAACTTTTATTTAATCTTACTGGTTGTTGCCAGATGCTAACAAAAATGTAGCAAAAACTCACATACTTTTGTGCTCAGTGGAAGGTAATTTAGCCCAAAGGCTAAATTGGGTCCATAAAACTTGAATAACAACTTAATTTCTTTGTATTAATTGAGGGGTAAATAATCCCTAATACTGTAACTAGCAATTGCATGTAGCCTGGTGCTCTGTTGGTACAAGGCCCATTTGTTGTTGATATTCTTACCTCCTGGCAAAAGTGAGAGGAATTGCTTAAAATAAGAATAGGGAGTTGGCCAGGTGTGGTGGCTCATATCTGTAGTCCCTAGGCTTTGGGAGGCCCAAATGGGGAGATCTCCTGAGCCCAGGAGTTCCAGACCAGCCTGGGCAACATGGTAAAACCCCATCTCTACAAAAAAATACAATAATTAGTCAGGTGTTGTGGCATGTTCCTGTAGTCCCAGTTACTCAGGAGGCTGATGTGGGAGGATCACTTGAGCCTGGAAGGCAGTGGTTGCAAGGAGCCGAGATTGTGCCGCTATACACCAGCCTGGACAACAGAGTGAGACTATGTCAAAAAAAAAAAAAAAAAAAGGCTGTGTGTGGGGGCTTGTTTCAACACTTGCTCCTCTCTTTCAGTTGTTCACTATCCCCAGAACTCAGGCTTCCCTGCTACTAATCTGTGGCCCAAACTTTCTCAGGTCTAATCCTATCCTCTACTCAGGGCTGGCTTCAAGGGCATGTGATCTTTCTTCATGGGCATGTGGCCTATGTCGTTTAGGGCATGTGATCTTCATAAGCATGTGACCTGTGCCATTGCACATGGTCCCATGCTCAAAAGTGTCCCACACTCATGCTCTGCTGCCTCTGTTTGGAAATTTTTAAGAATTTTTATCTTTGAACTTGTGTTTCATAAAGTATGATGGGACAATAAAGCTTGCATCTGAGCATAGGAGATCCATGCAGTATAGCTTCTCCATTCTGCCTAGCTGTCCCATCTGCAGATAGCATTCCCACTGCCCCAGGCACACAGAATTCTGGTGGACCCATGAAACAAGCGAATTCAGCAAGACTCAAAGCAAGTATAAGGTGAGGGTGCTACATCCAGGACTCGTGTGTGTGTGTGTGTATGTGTGTATGTGTGTGTCTGTGTGTGTGTGTGTGTGTAGGGTATGCAAATGGTCTCAAAAGACCACATTTTCTGTTCAAACCAGAATTTGTTTCAAACACAGGAAGAATGCAATGTTCTAAGAAACATATAACCAGGGAACCTTGTCACATCTTTTGTTTTATTAATTCCCTGTATTAGTAAATCAGTTGTGCTAAAAATAGCATAGAAGGAAAGGGAAACATGGGGCAACTCACAGTACCTTTTCCTTTCATTCTTTCTTTACTCATCCGCAAGTTGAGGGTAGGGCATGTTGGTAAAATATGTGCATATTGAGAAGTAAAATTAAAAACTGACTTTTGTGCATCATTTCCACTCTCCTGGTAATAACAAAATACATATGCATGTTTAGCTAATTTAACAGCTAAAAGTGTCATATTTTAGCATGATCCTTTTTCATCTGAGTGTTATAGTAGGCCCCCGTGTCCCAGGTTCTGTATCATGGACTTAACTAAGGATTGAAACTATTTGGAAAAGAAATTGTACCTGTACTGATGTATATAGATTTTCTCCATATCATTAATCCCTAAACAATACAGTATAACAACTTTTTACATAGTATTTACATTGTATTTGGTATTCTAGGTAGTCTAGAGATAATTTAAAGTATTTGGGAGCACGTGCTTAGTTATATGCAAATACTACACCATTATACATAAGGAATTGGGCATCTTTGGATTTTGACATCCTCAGAATGTCTTGGAACCAATTCCCCACAGATACTTAGGGCCACTTTCCTTTGAAAGGTCTTAAAATTAGTGCATTTGTTTAAGAATTAAAATAATCCCTCAAGAATTCTATAGAAACTATTATTAATTTGCCTTATGGATTGGTTATTGACAATGCAAAAGTTAATCGCTTTAATTTTAAAATTAATAAGGTTTAATTCAGATTTTATTGGACTCAATTTCTTAATGAATCACTGAAAATGTAACTATATAGAAAGCTTTTGTCTGTAACATCTGTGAGGAGGCATAGTTCTTGCCTATTACAGTGGAGGAAATTCTACTTGGAGAACATGCCTGTATTCTTGCCCCATCCTAGCTGCTTCCTTGGAGGAGGAGAGACTTAATTTGGTTACTGAGTTTGGAAAAAGAAGCTAGGCCTGCAAAGCCAACTCCTTTTTCTTCAGCAGGCAGCCACCAGCAGGAGCATATCTTCTTCTTAGCTCCTTGGTTCAGACAGTTTTCCCACAAGACGTGGTCTAGCAGTTCAGGCATTGAGTGGGTAAATTCTAATTCTGGGGTCTAAGTCCTATCAGAAAGCCTGTGATAGAAGCCACATTCTCTAATATGATGTTTAATATAGTTACTTTTTTTTTTTTTTTGAGACAGAGTCTTTCTCTGTAGCCCAGGCTGGAGTGCAGTGGCATGATCACAGCTCGCTACAGCCTCGACCTCCTGGGCTGAAGTGATCCTCCTGACTTGGCCTCCCAAAGTGCTGAGGCTACAGGTATGAGCCACCACACTTGGCGGGTAGTGGTACATTTTGATTTCTTAAAAATATGGAGGTAATTTCCCTGAGAGTATAGTAAAATCTGAGTTGAACTCTACCAATTTAAAGTACAGGCGATATGGGTGCCCATTCACCTTAACTTTTTGTCTTGCTTTTCATTTGGTTCTGAACTCAGGGGGAAGAAGGCAGGGATGCTCTTTATTAGGTCCTTTCAGTACCAACAAGGTCAACACCATTACTTCTACTATTGGTGACAACTTCAGCAAAACTCCATGATGAGATGGGACTTGTTGCCTCCATTTTCATTTCTACTTTTATGTTCTTTTTATATCCTATGTAGTGGCTAACATGGCTTAAGCATAGAGGAGTTTTTTATAATATTCCCAAGGAGAAAAGTGAAGGTGAGGTAAATAAAACTCTGAAACATGCCATGTGGCAGACAGACCATGGCCTGGTGACTGGGCTTCCAAGATCCAGGGCTTGTACTTTTCTGTCCTAGACTTTTCTAAGAATGGGGAGACAGGGAACAGCAAATTGGTCCAGTGAAATATCTCAATCCGGTCAGATTCAGCTCTAGTCTAGACATGGAGGGGATGCTCTACACAGAATTTCCACTGAAAGTGGGAGGTCCAAGATTAGAACAATCAATCAGAGGACCTTGGTTTAAATTATTACTCTTTGGCAGGCTTGTCAGGTTGTCCTAAGAGCTTTCTCTAAGATCTTTTATGGTTAATAACTGCCATCCCAGTCTCGCTCCCCCCATCCCCCACCAAATGGCTACAGATGAATTACCTAATTCCATTGCTTTAAAAAGAGTTTCTGTCAGAAGAGATGGAAACAAGAGGACATATTTCAAAATCATCCTCTCTTGTCCCATTAAATCAAAATTTTAGACAAAACTGCCTTGACTCCTAACAGTCTTGTAACAGAAAAATATTCACAACCAACTGTTCTTCGGCAGAGAAAGCTCTGTGGACTAATGAGCTCCAGATAGCTTTAG